>NC_000001.11:228608364-228759879 GCF_000001405.40 Homo sapiens | reverse complement strand
AGACCTTTATGGTGATCCACTTCCATTTAATGAATAGTAAATATATTTTCTCTTCCTTATGATTTTCTCAATGACATTTTCTTTTCTCTAGCTTATTTTATTATAAGAATATAATATCTGATATATACAGCATACCAAATATATGTTAATCAACTGTTTATGTTATCAGCAAGGCTTCTGGTCAACTGTAGGCTATTAGTAGCTTTTTTGAGGGGTCAGTAGTTATACGTGACTATTGCGGGGGAAGCAGTGCCTCTAATCCCAGCATGGTTCAAGGGTCAACTGTACTGTTAACAAAGGAAAGACCTACCTACCTATCCGAGAGAGAGAAAAAAAGAAAAGACATTTTAGAAGACAACAACATGGGAGAAAGGCGGTGCCCTGCTCCAGGGTCTGCCCCTGGAGGTCTTCTGGCTATGGAAGACCTGAGAGAGTCTCTGCTGAAGCAATATTGCTTCATCTGTGGATTGCACCCCATGCCTAGCTAGAATTCTAAACTGATTTGAACTAAGCCCATGACTCCACACCCTAGACAGCTTTAAGCCTCTGAATTTCCAGTATCTGGCAAGTTTTCAGAAACCTGGTAATCATGTCAACTATTCACAAACATGAGAGTTTTTTAGGAAGGATTTTTTTTCCATTGAGGAAGCAAAGGCATAGAGAGGTTGAGTATCCTGTCCAAGTCCTATAGCAATTAAGTGGTAGAGCCATGGGTTTGAAATTTGTGTCTGAGCTCTAACCACTCGTACATCATCTCCCTATACAGGCATTTAGACCCTATCTAAATCTCTGATGCGCAAAACAGTAGGAAGAAACCAAAACCAATGTGGAAGTGAGCAACTGCAATGCAAAACTACTGCATCTTACTGATCTTGATGTTGATAAAGTCACAAACTGTAGCCTATCATTCTGGGACTGCACTTTCCCCTCACTTCAGCAGCTCTGCCCATCATCAGCTACATCCAGCATGCTCTGTACAGGCATCATACAGGCACAGGGCCTTTTGATCTTGTGAACTTGTGGAGTCACAGGTATCCTGACTCTCATATCCATCTTGAAACTGTCTGCAGAGACAAGTTCGGCCAGAATCACCTCACGATTTGACAGGCCAGCAGAGATGCTCTTTGCCACTGCTCAGCAGATCAAGCTGAAGGGTCAGGACCCATCTCCTGCTAGCTGCCCACTCTGCTGCCAACCACCACACTGTCACAGAATGTTCTGCTTCTGACAGTCCATTTCTCCACAATGACCGAGAGCTGGAACTTCTGCTCCCATCTGGGCAGCAGAGCTACGTGGCTCTTGCATAATTAGTTCAGCTCTTGGAAAACTGTTTACTGAATATTTTGCCAGCTCTACATGGAATTGAAGCTGTGCTTTATTCTCAGCCTAACCACAGCTTAACAGGTCACAAACCTTAAGGGTGTGCAAATCTGTGCTCCCTTCACTCTGGTGAGTGCTTTCTCCCCTGCTCAGGGCTTCTGAGAAGCCGTGCCCAGGAAAAGCTTAGCCTCATGAAACAGAGTCTCACAAAATTCACCTGCCCAAAGGTCACCATGTCTATGCAGAAGCCAGCCTCGACTTGAATTTCTTATAATATTGGAAATAAGGAAATGGGGTCTGATAAAATGTCCGATGTTTGTGAATTGTTTGTACAATATAATTGACACCTACTATGGATGGACAGGGCAGTGGGGACCTCAGTTGTGTGGGGGAGCCACTTCCTTCAGGCCCTGGGAGCACTGGAGATGGGAAGGAGGGTCAGCAGGAGCTGTTTGTGACAAAATCACTTCACAGAACATGGAAAGGGAAGCCACCTCTAGCTGTTCTGTCTTTTTCTCCAGGGATCCTGGCAAAATGTGGGGTGAAAAGAAGAGGCCACCTGCTTGAAGGTCTCCCAGGAATGCCTCCAAGACCTAAATGCAGATTCTGGAGCATCCCCTCGGATTAATGGGGTCTCCTATAACCACTGCCCACTTGCCATTGGGCTCAGCAGGGTCCGGCTCTCTAGGGTAATGCCAACCCTGATCTTTCCCTGCTCCCCAAGACCCCATAGGCTGCTCTTGCTACCTACTTAGGACTCCAAGCCTGAGACAAAGCCTTTTTTTCTTCAAGAGAAGGTTCTTAATTTCTAAAGAAAGCCTTTCTACACAGGTTTTCCCTGTATATAAGCAGAATAACTTTTAAATGCCAAGAAAAGGGAGAATTTGAGAGATAACATAGCAGAAATTGAGTACATTTTGCCTCTAGAATAAATATGAATGACTTTATCTGTTTATGTAAATATCTGGAACAACAGGTCTGTGGTGGGTGCTGATGATTGGTCTGCTCCATTCCTCTGAAGGATCTTCAAGTACAGGAGAGTCTGGAAGACTAAAAGATGCATTTCCTAGGTTCCCTTGCAGCCAGGATGCTCTAGGGAGATCTTGGGATTTGAAAGGCAGTTGAAGCAGAAACAGTTTCAAGATTCTGGCTCCAATGGCTCCCTAAAGAAGAACCCATTCTGTAAAGTTCTGAGAGTAAGTCCTGAAAGTCCAGACTAGTACTCACTCCTCCAACCCTCCTAATTATTGTGTGAGCACCTAGTTCCCTGTATTAAATATCTTTCCGCTTAAGATACCTAAAGTGGTTTCGTTTCCTGCACCAAACTATGACTGATATAAATCCTTTGTCTGAGATCCATTTGGTTTGAGGTTTCTTTTTGTTTGTTTGTTTTTGTTTTTAGTAGAGACAGGGTTTTCACCATGTTGGCCAGGCTGGTCTCAAACTCCTGATCTCAGATTATCTGCCCATCTCAGCCTCCCAAAGTGCTAGGATTATGGGTGTGAACCACTGTACGCAGCCTAGTCTGAGTTTAATAATGTTTTTGATCTTTCCTCACTTATTCTAATTTTTACCTCTTGACTTGTTTTTGATGTTCTCTTCTATGCTGCTTCTCATTTTATTTACCCCTCTTTAGCATATAACTGCAGCCATAATAATCTAGAGGAAAAGGCATACATTTTAGAGTCAAATAGATCTCATTTTAAAGTCCTGCTCTTTCACGTATAATCTGTGTCACTACAGATAAAGTTTTTAAAGTCTGCAGCCTCTGTTTTCTGATCTCTTAAACATGTCCAGGAATATCTTTCTTATCAGGTGTGATGCAGTTTAGGTGAGAGGTCCTGGGGGCCCCCAGCAGGACACACAGCAGGACTGAACAAATCTCAGTTTATTCACCTCCTCCTCCTCCTCCCTACACAAAGAATTCTTAGAGTGATCTTCACGCATCATTGATAATCAGTTCCAGTGCTGGGGACGGCCACTCTCCAGACCAGGAAGACAAGCCCAAGCCCCTCTCCATAGCTGGGATGAGTGAGAGCTCAGTGGAGGGTCCTTCCCATCCCCATGACCATGGACTGAACGACACACACGTCAGCCCCAGAGTCATCTCCCCCAGAGCTTCAAGGTCAAACAGCATTTACTGTGTGCCCTTCAGAAATAAATATAAACTCCCATCCCTGAGGATCTGGACACAAAGGCTTGACCACTCCTAATCTTCCTGGAGTCCATGTGTACAGTGCCCAAGTCATTTCTCTCTCTCTCTCTCTCTCTCTCTCTCCTTAGATATCTCTTTCCTTCTCTCTTTCTTTTTTATCCATTTCTGCATTTTCTCACTCTCCATGTCTGCTCATTATTTTGTTTCTCACATCTCTCTTTTCCTCCACCTACAGGGTGTTTGGCCCTATTCTATTTGAAACCTCTCTGTTTCACTTTCTGTCATTCTTTCTCCCCAAATTTTGACTATCCCCTAACTGCATGTATTCCTGCATCTTTCTCCCCATCCCTGTCCCCTCATCTCCTCCCCGCTGACTCTCCCTGTCACAACCCCCTTCCTGAGCTATGGCTCCTTCCACTTACTAAGTCCCTTCCCTGTCACATTGCTCTTTTTTGCTCCTGGCACCAGGTCTTTCTGCCTTTTGTGGTCCCAGTTCTTTTATTCCCCTCACTCTATCTGATGTATCTCCCTTTTCCACACCACTTCTGCTACCCCTAGTCAAGGTACCCCCTCCCTGCTTTGCTCCCCGTCGTCTCTGGAGAGCCCTTTTCAATCCATGTGCTCTTCTGCTGCATCTCCTGCTAGTTCACCCTTTTTCTCTACTGCTAGTCTCTAAGTCCAACCTGTCCTCTATTTTGTATCTCATTCTTCTCCTTCCAGACTTTCTAGCTGTCCCTCAGTCTGTCGGTTTCTGTCCCCAACCCAGCCCCGTGCACATTCACAGATATGGGGGAAAAGACGCCCCTGCCTGGAAGAACAGTTCCAGTGGTGCTGCGAAGGCGAACGCACCGCAGCCAGCCCAGCCAGAGGAAGCGATCTGTGCAAAAGAAACACTGAGGTCACGGAACAGGTGCAGGTCACCTCCTTCAGCACGAGGGTTGGGGGGTCTCCCAAGGCAATGAGTGCTGTGTGGAGAACTGGGGAGGAGCACGGGTTGACCTGGGAGGTCACGAGGAGCAGGGAGTCTCAAGAGATGGCGCGGTCCCCAGAATTCCGGGGTCAGGATGAAGACGCAGCATCCGGGGCTGCACTGGGTTGGGGGAGGTGGAGGGAGCGCAAAACACTTGAACCCACCGCCGACTTTACCCCATGCAGTTATGTGAGGTGATAGAGGGGGACGGGAGTCACCCAAAAGGAAAACGACGCGGCAGGCGGTGTCTACCTGGACCTCCCTCAGACAGGCTGGGGGAGCAGACTGGCTCAGAGCGATTTTAACCCAAAATAAACGCAGACCAGGCGGGCGACCGGGCCTCGGAAAACCTCATAGCCACGCAGGATTCCCCGCCGGCCGGGTGAGCGGGCCAAGAAACTTCAACACACGCGCTGGCTCCTGAACCCCGGCTGCGACGGATCAGGGGCCTGAGGGGTCGCAAAGCACAGATTTGAACCAGAAAGATGGAGCCTTACTCTCTCCACTCTGCCCTTGCTCTGCTTGACATCTGCCCAGTTCATTCTGAGCCTCCTGCGAACAGCGGCGATAATAAATCTTTAATTCTTTATCCCCAAGCCCCCGGGGGAATCTGGAACATAGTAAGGCCTCAGCATGAAATAAAGCCACCTCCCTGAGCCCTTTTCCCCGAGGACAGGCACACCCACTCAGAGTTTGCAGATTCTGAAGACTTGGAGCCCAGGCACCTTTACCTACAAGCTGTTGGCTCCATTTGCATGTCATCTCCAAGATAATTTCCTTACAGTGCTTTTCCAAAAGCAGCTTTTACACATCCTGATCGTGTTCCTGAAACACCCCTGTTATTGCTTCTGTCACCGTGGTCAGTGGATCCTTTGAAGCAAAAATCTGCTTAAAATCAAATTACTCCATATCTTAGGAAATAAAAATGTAGACAGAAATGACAAAAGAAAAATGTTATATTCAATAGTCAATGTTAAATTATATGTTTTATATTTCTGAGATATAAACCCCTATCTCAAGAAAATTTCTAGCACACAGCTAATTTGTGTGAATATTATTGGGGGTGAGACACAGGGAGGAAAGATTATGTAGAAGTTAATATGCTTTTGGCAGCAAGTAATAGGATGTTTGTCTCAAGAGAGCTTAAACTATAAAAGATTTTCGTTGGCTCATGTAAGTGGAGACTCAGAAGTTCAGGCTTTTTTATTTCCTCGCTCTGTCCTCCATCTGAGAGCTCTATTCTTACAGAGGCAAGCAGCTGCCAACTGGGACAATATTCTTGACAAGTAGGAGAGAGAGTCTCTTATCTAACTGTGGAATTAAACTCCCCTCTCCTTCAGTCTGATTGGAATAATTTAGTGAATGTACTTGCTCCTGAACGGAGAACTGTCACCAGGGAAATGCCATGCACTGATTGGCTTAAACCTGTTTCCTAAAATGATTCTTGGCAGAGGAATGGAATTATCACGACTGACTCAGGCTGGATCTGGAGTCAATATCCAAAACCACATTGTTCCTACTCTGAAGAGGAAGGATGAAGCTGATGTTCATACGTGAGAAAGCTAAAGAGAGGGGTTCAGTCCCTCATTTGGATCAAATTACGATGAAAGACTGAAGAACATTTACAAGACAAAAAAAAAGTCAAAATGGACATTACAGCACAAGTGAGAAGTCCACACCAGAAACCCTGAGGAGGTCTCTGAACTTCCCATGGGATATGGGAAGGGGAGTTGAAGCTGATTTGATCAAAGTCATAAAGGCAGAACAGACTGACCCAGCTTTATCTGGGTAACACCTACAAAATTTGTCTAACAATAAGTAGGCAAGGGGAAGGGGAACAGTGAGGAGGAAGCATAGTTGCACAAAAGAAAGTACTAGACTAAAAATGCCAAACTGTGCCAGTGTGGTTGTGTACGCCTGCAATCCCAGCTACTCAGGAAGCTGAGGTGGGAGGATTGCTTGAAGCCAGGAGTTCAAGGCTGTAGTGAACTTTAGACATATGCCTGTGAATAACCACTGCACTCCAGCCTGGGCAACATAGTGAGACCCTGTCTCTAAAAAGAAATCAAATTTTTTAAAAAATGCAAAATATAATGGCATCTGCATTAGGTGATGAAACTATGATTGCTTTCCTCTCTTTTTCAAGTTTTTCTGTTTTTCTAATAATCTTAACATGAGAATATATTTATTTTATAATTAGAAAGTATTAATATAAGTAGTTAATGGTGGCTTCCAAATGTAACTTCTTCCTAAAATTCCTGTGATTCTTTCTTTATTCACCATCCACAAAAGCCACACGCACAGTAATAATTTTTCCAATATTTGTTAAGCATCGAATTGTCAAGCTCTTCAGAGGCTTGGCAAGATAAAAGTCCCTAATTAACAAATACTTAAGGACTGACACATCTTTGCCATAATCGTGTTGTTGTTTAAATTGTGGAATATTTGTGGTTGGAGGCTAAGCTTAATTGTTAAAAAGTTAATTGTTTTTGAGTCAATAAGTGATCACTCTGGCTCCCCAAGAGAGACTAATTAACTTGGGAAATCCCAGTGAGAACCCCAACTCCAAGGGGAAGCACATTTATCTCTAGATGACTTTCCACATGCGACAGAGTAAGTACTTGAAGGGCAAGGATTCTGTGCGCTGATTATCACATTGGCATGCACAGATAGATGCATCACAAATGCTTTTCTTGATGGAGATAACAACAAACAATCTCACATGGCCCATACCCTCTTTAATCAGCTTCATTATTTTCTCTATTTTGTACTATGTGAATCCTTTTTCTTTCTAATTTTTACTTTCTTTTTTTTTCTTTTTCATATTAACCAGGTTTTGATTACTGAAGATTCCACTCACTGAACTCCTTGTGTATCAGAAAGTGAGAGATTTTCTGTCTTCCTGGAAAACCCTTTATTTATCAAGGACTCCGCCATCCTCTTAAGCTCCAAAGCTGCCTCTTCCTTCCCAGTCTCGGCACAGACACTGCTGACACGCCTCTGACCACGAGCATGTGGCCAGGTCTCCAGATCCATGCCTAGCCCAAGGATCTCAGGACATAATTTTCTCTACTTGGAGTTTGGTGAGAACTACGAATTTCTTAACGTCATATTGACTGCTTAAAATGAAAAATCCTAAACCTGTGGAGGTCAAGGGTGAAAAGAATTTTAATTATCTTAAAATAATGGAGAAAAGGAACAGTAGAGATTTCATGACTTTAGCTCCTGGTGAGGTTGAAAAAATTAAAGGCCAAAGAAATTAAACTTATCCTGTAAATGTATGGAGCTGGTCAGTGACAAGGACAGGATGAGGATCCTGGCTTCCTGGGGTCCTGGTGATACCGGTTGGTCCTCTCAGCTCTGTGCCATGCAGCCTGTCCTGGTGTCATTGCGCACATGCTGCCCCACAGCAGTCACTCTCATTTAAATCCCAAATGTGGGCATATTACAAATTGCATGCAAGACAAAAGCAAACTGATGTCTCAAAAATGTAGACAGGGCATGTCAGAAGAGCGGTATCAGTCAAAATCAGATGGTGTCATATAGCACCCTGTTGCACAACTACCCATGAAAATGCCTTGGTCAGGGAGAGGGGCAGTGTGGAGAACAAAACCACCTTCTGTAAACCAATTCTACTCCTTTGGGAGATGACTATGTAATGGATGGTGGAGAGTAGTTTCAGTTCTGTATGGAACACAACCACTGAGAATCATGCTGATAATCACAGTAATTTTAATACACATTTTTAAAAAGGGCTTCCTATATCCTGGGTGCTATGTTGTTCCAGTTGTCCAAATGAAAGCTGAATTCTGTCCATTCTACAATGTAGGTCTGCTATCTAAAGAAACATCCAACCTCTATCTCAGCCAGCTGCCTCTGCTCATTCAACAGGGTGCCAATTTTCCTTCACTGTAAGCATGCACTCTCCCCCTAGAGAGCAAGATTCAGCAGTTTAGACAACATGTTTTCTCACCCTTTCAATAGTCAGACACTGACTAAAAGAATAAAGGTGACCAATACACCTTTTACCACCAAAAGCCCTGACTTCTAAACCAGTTGTATTCTCCACCTGCATAATAATGTATATGATCCACCTCTCTTCACCCAAGATAGACATGAGCAATGGAGTGCACCAGCCCTAGCAGCCATTGCCTCCCTTTCCCACATTAATCCACTTGGCAGGCCAAAGCAAACATACTGCCCAGGGCTCATGTACCTGCGCAACTTCTTCCCCCACCCCCACACACATTGTCTCTGGGCTTGGTTTTAGGTCTTGCTTTGACCCATGAACATTAACAAGCGGGATGTAAACAGAGGCTTGGTAAACCCTTGCGCACTGGAGCTGCCTCTCGTGGTACACTCTGTCGCGAAGTCAGTCTCGTCTCTATGCTATAAAGAAACTCCAGCTAGACTGCTGAAGATGAGAGGGCACAGGCACGGAGCTCTGAAGGTGGGAGCCTTTAGATGGTCCACGCCAGCTGAGCTGCACGTTATCTCTCAACCACACAGGTACACCTGAGCAAAAGAAGTGCTTGGCTGAGCCCCGTCCACCCACAGGATCATGAGAAAGAATAAGTAGCTGTTGCTCTAAGTCACTAAGTATTGGGGTGGCTTGTTACACAGTGATAGATAACTAAACTGGTGTATCTCTACTGGAGGTTTTAAAGAGTCCCTCTATATCCTTTCTATACAAGTGCAGAAACAGAGAAGGGAAATTAAGGTTTAAAATATCCTCCAGGAGTAATAGTTCTACGTATCTCAGGCAAAGTCCCTTAGCAAATTAGTCTTTTTGTTTCTCTCTCTAATAATTAAGGATAATAGCAACCAATCCTATGTATGTCCACACGTATAGTGTGAGGTTAGAAGACATGATATATTTATTTATTCATTTACATCACAACTTGGTCAAGAGGAGATTTAGACAGGCTAGGGCAATTGGTGAAATATTTTTCATGCCCAATAAATGAATGTGGTTCATTTCAGGTATTATTATATTTATTGAAACATTTCTTCACTTATAAACCCTCACTGTTTCCTGGTCTCCTCTATCACATTCACATTTTTATAAGAAAAAATGTTCCTTGCTTTACCTAAATAATTATTAGCTTGATTAATAATTGATCCCCTTCTACTGTTTCCATTTTGAAATAGAAACACTTGGCTTTCAGCAGTACCTGATCAGTTTTGGGGGTGATGGTGAAGTGATTTAGAAAAGGAGCCAGTGTAAAGAAAGGGGCAGAGTAGGAAAACAGGGCCAATTTACCATGTGGCTGGTGACATGGAGGACTGTCTAACTTTGGGTAGGCTCTCAGCCACACAAGGGCCAACCATAAAAATCATTTAAGGTTGTCACAAGGCAATAATTAATCATATAATGACTCCGCCTCATTCTCATCCCTTAGGCTGAAATAAGATAACAAAGGAGGTAAATTGTGTAGATAAATTAAATGCATTGCAAATCCATTCATCAGTTACTGTGTCTGGTTTTAGATCATTAATGCACAATAATAGCCTATGTGCAGCCCTCCTAGCTTCATGGTCTGTTCTGAGATTTTATCTCAGAGTAAGCAAAGGAACCCAGGAAGAGCCAGGACAGAGAAGGGACACAGGGGGAAGACAGTCGGAGTAGGGAGAAGTTAGGGAATTCTAGATGACTTTTCTGTATGTTTTTTAACCAATAAAACCTTTGATAAATACATGAGTTAAGCCAATCTAACTATTTCAATTGATATTGCTGTGGTTGGTGACACTTTAGATATATCAGTTCTAAGTTCCTATTGAGTATCTCTTAGTGGAGATACTTGAGCAGATTCAAAATAGAATTCTGACTCAGCCAGCTGGGTCTGGTATAGTCTAAGTCCATGACAAACTGGAGCGCAAAGAGTGGTCAATCTTTCTGATTTTCATGGCAAAATCAGTTCTTATATTTACTCCTGAAGCACATGAATTGTTTTCGCAACAGCCACTTAAAATACTGGTACTTGTCTTAAAGTGAAACCCTGAACCAGCTATTATCCAGCAACTGTCAAATAGTGATCAATGCAAGTGATATTTCCAAAAGCTTGTGTACTAAGGGATATACTAGAATGTCTAAGTTCTGTTTGTGCTTTAAGTTTGGACTATAAGAATACACCCAAAACAGCATGCTTGGACTGTAAGAATACATGCCCTCATGGGAATGTTTTCCAAAGTGACAATCAGCATATGCCACATTGATGTTATACCTCTTGTTGTTGGATTGAGAGGAAATGCTAGAAGTTGCTATATGGGGGATGTTTCTCCACCTTGTGCAAAGCCAGTTAAAAATGTAAAATATTCACATCAACATTTTTGGTACCCAAATTCAAGGGAAGAAAGCCAATTCCCCTCTAGAGCCTCCAGAAAGCAACACAGCCCTGCCAACCCCTTGGTTTTAGCCCAATGAGACCCATGTCAGATTTCTCACCTCCAGACCATAATGTAATAAATCTGTGTTGCTTTAAGCCACTTACAGCAGCTGAAGGAAGCTAATACAATGAGTTAAGTTTGAAGTACCTGTGGGACATTTAGGAGGAAAGCAACAAAGGGCAATGGGATCTTCTGCTCCAGAATGTGTTTCCTTTTTAAAGTTAAATATTGGGTTCCCAACCACATGCATCTTTCATGTGCAAGCTATGCCTCTTCAAGACTTGGTTTTACTATTAGTATTGCACATTGTACCAGATAACAGGGGAAACTGTGGTTGGGTGACTCGGGTTGTTAAATGATGACTGTAAAACTGTAAGAATGTGCCAGTCCGCAGCAAAAGCTTCTTGCACGACAAGAGTCAAGGGACAGCCCAGCATAAGGCTGGGGAACACAGCAGATCCATGACTTCCACATGATGCCTGGGTTGCAACCTTGCCTACTGACTCCCTAAACTACCTTTGTACACCAAATTCAGACTTCCCTGCTTCACCATCTGCAGGATTCACTTGTCATTTTTCAGAGAGGTGGCCCACCCCCTACAGTTCCACCAGGTCAGCAGCAGCAGCCGCGGCAGCTTTGTTCCACAGAGCCAGCCTGTGCAACAAGGAGTGTGATCTATATAATGTTGCTCTGATTTTATAAAAATGAGTGGAAATGAAAAAAAATGAATGTGGTGTTATCCATTAAAAGTGTAAGCCTCATAAAATTTAATAGAAATGAAGATGGAAACCCTTAGGAGTCAATTGTCATCTCAGTGGGATGCCCACAGGGACCTGAGCTGATGGACTGAGGGTCCTGCTGTGAAGGAAATTAAAGGAATCATTGAAAGGGGTCTACTAGGAAGACCATGCAGAGTGAGCATTTACTGAGTGCTTACTGTGTACTAGCACTTTACATCCATAACCTCATTTGATCAGAGGATGAAAGCATCAGCTGATTGGGTAGGTGCCATGCTTATCCACCTGGGAGGTTAGAAAGTTGTTTGGACTCAGAAGGCTTAAAAGGTTAAGTAGCTTAAGGAATCAGAACCAGTAAGTGGCAGAGCCAGAATTCAAGCCCAAGCAGCCTGACTCCTCCCCATGTCCCTGGTTGCCACCATCACCTCCCATTATCACCATCCTGACATCATCTCCCTATCTCTCTCTGCACTCCTTTTATCTTGTTCAGACTGGCCTCTGGGACATACCAGATGCCCTTCTGCCTTGGGGCCTTTGAACCTTCTTTCTTTTTAGAACACTTTTCTCCCAGATGCTTCTCATTCCTTCCCTCCCTTTGAATCCATAAATGTCTCAGTGAATCACATGGTCACCTCTCCTACAGTGGCTGGATGCGCTTTCCATGTGTCCCAGGAAGGCCCAGCCAGGACACGGGAGACAGACTGGGACTGGGTGTGGAGAAACCTTTGAGTCCCTCTGGGCTGGGGTCAGCTGCCCTGTGGAGGCCGGGAAACCAGTGCCTGGGGTGCTTTTGGCACTCCCCAGTCATGTGTGGAATTAGGTGGTACAGTAGTTTCACTTGCATGCCATGCAGTCTTCCCATTCATTGTGGCTGAACATCTGGTGGGTACTCATAAAAATTATATCATGGCCTATGCAGTGCCATGTGGAGCAAAGTGGATGGCTCCATCCTTCACAGGATGACCTTGAGGCTGGAGGGTGAAAGCAAGAAGACTTCCAGCCCCTCAGAATAGTCGTCTCCCCAGGGTCCCATTTCCCGGAGCCCTCAGTAAAAGGGCTGCATCCTCACGGCATGATGGGAAAACCGACTGACTTCAAGAACCTGAAGAAATCACACAGAACACAACAGCACCTCTCCGCACCCTCAGGACCTGGGAACCCTGGTCCTCAGCTCTACAGCTGGTAAGGGCTCATGGTGCCTTTGACTCTAACCTCTTTCATGGTGATTTACAGATCTTGGATGTCTCCTCTGCATGTTCAGGATTCAGATAGCCTGATGAGAAAGGCAGTACTGTTTCCAGATGAGGAAACCAAGGCTCAGATCGCTGGCTGTCTCAGCTTCATCTCACACTAGTGCTTCTCTGAGCCCAGACTTTTGGCTCCAAGAACAGTGCTCCCTCCAACACACTGGGACATCAGCACACAGTCTGTGAGGAACATGTAGTCGGCGGGTGCTTATTGTCAGACTGTGGCTCCAGAATTCAGAAAACCCCATGCTGAATGAATAAGCACTTCAAATTGGTTGGAGATGCATTCCCAAAACACCTCTCAGGGTAAGCCACGATGCTTCCCAACTAGTGCTGCTTCAAGATGTGGCTAAACACCTCCAACAAAATTCTCAGATAGAAAAGGCAAGAGCCATTATATTCATAAGTCAGAATTTATTTCATACCATCTCACTTATAGCATTTTCAAGTACAACATTCTGCTCAACATCATTTACACTTGAAAACAGAAAAGCACAACTTGGTAAGGCACCAGGTTACGATAGTCTGGAGAGAAGGCCTTGCTCCCATTTTGGCTTGTGTAATACCTGGGTAGTTTCTCTTGAGTCTGTCAAGCAGAGAACAAGGTTATAAAAGGTCCATTTATACATACATGGTAACAAGAGATAACAAACAGTTTTGAAGTATGCTGTATTTATAAATTATAATGGTGGCCTACACTTGTAGTTCAGCCAAAGTGGCATTCTCTAAAGCAAAATTCTTATAAAATCTTCTCTGCAATACCAAGCTGCAAGTTTAACAATTTTTTAGCTTTGAAGTGAACCAACTTTATATTTAACTCAAACACATACTTTAAAAACATTTTCGGCCCCAAACTCTATGTTCACGAAGAAATAAAAATGGAGGAAAATCTCAAGTATAATCGTACCTTTACTATTCTATAAAATGCAGCAATATATTTTAAAAACTGTTGCATTTAAAGGTCAACCCACTAGATTTTTAACACTAACAGTCCAAGGTGTTATCAACCCCACTTAAAATTCAACTGTATAAAGCTTTCAGAACTGGGCCACACAGGTGTACTTCACTGAGCACTTTCCACCCATGGCCTAAAGGCAGGAGGTGTGGAAGTCCCCTCCAGGGAGACCAACTGCAGCCCCATACACTGTCACACGCATAAAACTTCTTTCAAGTTTTGTGTTCTATCTTAAAAATGAATTTGCACTATACTCCATGCCATTTACTTTAATATAAAAATAGTGTTTCAAATCGCTTACCAGTTAAATAACTCATCTTCCCTCCCACACCTCCAGGCACCAGACAGGCAGAGCCCAGCCTGGGAAGCCTAGCTTTCCACAGATAGGTAAGCCAGGCGCGGCAAGATGAGACTGTATTCAGTTAGGTCTATTTTAAGCATTTCCACAAATCATTTTATTCCTTCAGGTTGTAACTAAATGCTTCAGGAAACTATGACCGACATCAATTCCAATGTGTTGAATAATCAATCAGTCTATGTATTTTAGTGGTTTAAAGATTAATCTTTTGTTAAACAAAGAAATTTGTTAATTTTATTTACTAACAGGAATAAATAGAACCCCTAACCTAAAGTATAACCTGATCTTTTACTTTTTCTATAGAAAAACACAAACTGGATTTCTTTTTAACATAAAAAAGACAACACAAAACCCACAGAAAAATAAAATTCTTCTATCTAACTGGCTTTACAGATTTCCCTCATTAGTTGTGGATGTGACTTTGGTGGCTCTGGGTCACCCACCGCAAGCCCGACCCTGCAACTGAGTGTTCAGGCTGCCTTGTGGTGTCTCGGAAGCATTCCTACCAGAGTAAAAGCTATTCTCCTGAGATGGCACCTTTTTCTCCAGAAGATTCAGCCCTAACAGCTGCCACCTTGAAGGATGTATTTCACTGTCACAGGAAGCAGCCAAGTATGGGGGCCATGGTCCCGGCATGCACCTGGCTGGCTACACGCCCCGCCCCTCAGGAGTCCTCAGAGTCCACTGGCCTCTGCTGCTACTGCCCTGAAAGCCATCTGTGGCTTTAACTGGTTGTTTTAACAGGTTTCAAGAGATGTTCATTTTATTTTTTGTTTAGATTTAAGATGTCCTAAAAAATGTATATATTAAGATACACTTAAAAACATACTCTGAATATAATAAAAAAGATGTTGGTTCAAAAAAGGGTCAACAAGAAGAGGAAGCCAAGCTTCCTAGCATCTGTTTTTGTGGCCACGCTTTTCCCCATTAATGGTGTGAAAGTCTGAATCAACAGCAAATACAGCCATACAGACCTATGTATCTGTGTGCATGAGTGTGCATGGGTGTGCACACAGAGAAGTACATCTTGGCCGACTTAAGAAAAAATTATCTGTGTTGTGTCCCACAAACACTTGCTGTTGGCCTTTCAAGAGTATTCACCTCCCTGCCGAAGAGACAGCTTGAGTATGGAGGTTTAAAAACAATCCAGACAGGTGCTCCCTGTTGCCCTCGTTACCTAGGATTGAGGCAGTTTGGTGCACGTATTACAGTACCGAAAGCAAATGTCACTTTCTGATCTCCACAGGAACCACTCCCTAAAACATGAAACTACTGACCAACACTTGCTTTCCTCCGCATAGCACTTTGTCTGTGTTCATATGTGTCAACACAACTGGACTAAGAAAGAAAAGTCCCAATAAGGAAGTTTCCTTTTTTGACTACAGAGTGCCATACAGTCAGTGGGATGTTTTCTGTTGGTTGTTTTTAAATCAT
The DNA here is from genome assembly GCF_000001405.40 of Homo sapiens. NCBI lineage: Eukaryota > Metazoa > Chordata > Mammalia > Primates > Hominidae > Homo > Homo sapiens. Next base: position 228,744,316 of record NC_000001.11, on the reverse strand, counting down.
AAGTAACTGGGTATTAGCAATTGACAAAAGTGACTGGTTTGAGGTTTTGTAGGCAGAGGTCTCTCACTTTTTTTCTCAGATTTTTGCTCCTTAAAAAAAAGGCATGGTTTGCATGGAGTTTCAAAGCTAAGAACTATTGTTACCATGGTTGACCTGTGTACATAATGCACTGTGCATTAAGTAGCCCTTAATCAAGAGAGGGTTAACCATAGTGTTCCTCCCTTTTGCTCTTCTGTACATTATAATGTAGCAGAACTTCATTCTTAACATCCAGATTAGAGGTGTCTTCTTCATATTAGATATAAATTAACCAGAGGTCTAGAACTCTAAATTTCCAGAGATGTGAAAAATGTTTAATTTACTTCAAAAATATCTTGCATAAGTATCTCATCCCTAAGCTCAAACAAACAAGAAAATTAAAGGCAGAAAGAATACATAAAATTGAGAGCTCCTCCTATAATACATATACACACACTCTCGATATAGGTTCTACGCAGTAAAAGGAGTTGTTTCAGCTAATATAGCTTCTAATATCGATTTCATCTGAAAATAGCCTTTCTGGGTGTCTTGCCAGCATCATACGAAACAGCAGTACTTCTTCCACCAGGACTTGGAGAGGTTTTTCATTTTATCTGGAGTCCTGCTTTTAGACTTCTTTGGCTGTTGCTGAGTGTCCGAGTATTGAATGCCAGCGACGATGGCTGCATCAAAGACCTCTTTGAGGTTTTTTTGAGTCAAGGCTGAACACTCGATGTAGGAGGCGGCTTTGATTTCCTCGGCGCACAGCTTAGCCGCCTCTTCAGGCACTGGCTTTTCTTTGCATTTGTCCAACTCAATGAGGACTTTGACATCTTCTCTGAGATCCGACTGCGTTCCAACTAGGATGATGGGGGCTTTGGGACAGTGGCATCGAATCTCCGGCACCCATTTCTCACTGACGTTCTGGAAGGATGAGGGGCTCACGACACTGAAGCAGAGCAGGAAGATGTCTGTGTTGGTGTAGCAGAGAGGCCTCAGCTTGTCAAATTCATCCTGCAACCAAGCAAAGTACCCAAAAGTTATGTTTTCATGAATTCTCATCAGTAAAAAGATCACCTTCACATTTTTCATGAAAGGGTCTGGCAGGTGATAGAAGACCCGCTGGTTCTAGAAGGAAGAGCCAGCATCCTTGAAACGATCCTACTGTTTACCCAAGCGGGGCCAGTGCACCAGCGAAGGTGTGGCAGCCATCTGCTTTCAGGGCCAGCTATGGTCTGAACACTGCCAAACATGTTCAACGTGTTCATCGACACTCAAGACCTACTTACAGCTTAACATAGAAAAAGTGCTCAAAGTAGGTGGGTTCTAGAAATAAAATGGACTTAAGCCTTCAGCTGAGTGTAACCCAAACCTACTCTCAACTCTTGGTACTTAGCTACTCTTCTAAAATTCAGACCACACCCATATTGATCCTCAAGACTCCCACTCAAACCCAGTCTACGAACACAGCTCCTCTCTTTATCAATCCAGCCCTGCCTTTCCCAACAGCTCTGAGTGATGCCAATTTCATCCCATCTGCACTGTGCACACGCTCTGCCCACACTATGCACAGCAACGCAGAGTAATGCTAATCAGACTCAAGGCCAGACCAGAAATGGAGTTGAGGACCTTTGTCAGTCCATTGTCATCGTGACTCAGAAAACTTTTGCAGCTCAGTGCCACTTACAGACACTAGTTAATACATCCTCATTCTGGCTGTATCTTCTCTTCCTCCCTCCTTCCTTCATTTTCTCCTACTTCCTTTATCCTTGCCAGTACCCATGGCCTCCATGTACAGTGCTTTGGACAGATAAGAACTGGAGAATAGGCACGCCCACCCTACCCTTAAAGTATAGAGAAGTGGATAGAATAAGTTAGAGTTGATTACAAATAAACCAACGGTTGTGCTGCCAATGCTCTCCCGTGGTCATCCATTTAACAGACACACTGAACATCACCTACACTCAAGGCACAGTGGCAGGCGAGGGGATTTGGCTGTGAACAGACAGATGTTGTTCTCCAAATTACCATTTCTTTACAGAAAACATCCTATAGTTCCCTGTAGCACCATATTCAGCTAACTGACAACTTTTGCTCAACTCTTTTGTAGAAAAATATTTACTCTTTCCTATGTAAAATGTATATCTGTTGGTGCCAACCATCCTCAGGTATAAATAATTTCCCAATGACAAGAAAAAGTTCAACGCCATTCATGTTTTTCATTACTCAATTGACACACTCCGATTATTTACCAAGTACCATTTACATCACATTATACTCCATCCGTGGCTTTTTTCTCTTGGTATAAAAGAAACCTGTAACTTATTTGAATGTACTTTCTTCATTTGAGGCCCCATGTTTCAATTACGGGACGACAGCCAACCAACTAATCACATTAAAGTCAACCAGCTAAAATGCTCAGCAATCAATGTGGTATTTCAGAATGTCACTTGTGAGGCTTCTGTAAGCGAAAGTTGAAAAAGTATGACTTAGCCAAATGTGGTGGCACGTGCCTATAGTCACAGTTACTTGGGAAGCTGAGGCAGGGGGATCACTTGAGCCCTGGAGTTTGAGACCAGCCTGGGTGACATACCAAGACCCTGCTCTCTAAAAAAAATTTTTAAAAAGAAAAATAATGACTTAAGTTTCTTCATGCCAACTTTGTGATGAATAAATAAACACAGAAACACAGCCAGGTAGACTATGGCTCAGTCATGAAGATCTTTTAATGGAATGCTCCCTCTGTTCTTAGAGGGCCTCAAAGAAAGAAGCATAAAACTGAGACCAGTATTAAGGCAGCCCCCTCAGGTAGCTGCACCCCTGGCCATGCCCTGGTATCTGGGGTTGCATTACTGAGAAAAATAAAGGCAAGCACAAGGGCTGGGACTTCTGAGGGGGCTTTGGAAAGCTATCTCCCCAGATCTCTTGAGATTCTGGCTAAGGGGCTTGAGAAATAAAACAGAAATTAGACCCTCCTGCTCAGTGCCTGACCTGAAATCTTAGAAATAATGCAATACACACGTGCAATGAGGACAACTGGAATGCACCCTTAAGAAAAGGCGTTCTGAGGCCAAGCAATTTGCATGTGCTTGCCAGGTCTGTGGTACGGACACTGCACAGAAGTCTGATCAGGGTTGGCGGGGCAGAGAGACGAGACTGGATTCTACATCCCTCTGGTCTAGCTGCAACTTGATTTTTTTTTTTCAGTATAAGATTTTTCCAAGTACTTTATGGGTCAAAAGGCTGAAGAATTTTCAGCTTCTATTGGCAACTCTCCAGTGAACTACTCCTATTTCCGCAATACTTTTTTCTCTTATGCCAAAGGTATGTTTTTTCAAGCCTCCAGTCTGTCTCTGATCAATCTGCCCTTGAGTGATGTAAGACCAGTGTTAAAAACTCCTTTTGACATCTTATAGACTCGCCTACCCTCCCTAACAAGAAAAGCCAAAGTACAAGAAGTGATTTCTTCAGCATGTAGAGCCATCCATACTCTGCTCCCATCAACTTCTGTGGGAAACCCACACTCCAGCTCCACATCCCCAAGTTCTAGCCTATCTGTGCTCACGTTGATTCTCCAGGCATCTGAAGTGGAGGTCAGTGGAGTCACTTAACCCTCAAGGCTCTTATGTCAACTGCCTAGAAGAGGTATGTGTTCCTTCCTCCATAAGGAAACTTGGCAGGTATCACAGCAAGTCCCTTAAAATGTATTTTATCAGATCAGGACTAGGGAGAGTAGAAAAGAACTGCCACTTTGACCAGCTTGGCTAGTAGTCTAAACAAAGACTAATTTATAAATGGGGGATCAGGAAAACAAAAACAGAACAACTGACTTATCTTACCAGCAGCTTATTTTTCATAGTTTTTGAAGATGGTTCTTCTTCAAAAGTTTTGAAGTTGGTTCTAAAAGTCTACAAATTTTTAGATAGTGGTCTTATTCATTATTTAATTGGGTATACTCTTCTAACCAGTACACAAAGGTTAAGAAATACAGTAAATCTCATTGAAAATATTGCTAAGAGGCCAGAAGAATAATTTTCAAATAAACTGAAACTTACAAATGTAGCACCAAAACCTTCGTTTTTCCCTAATTATAAACTTTTTTGTGCAAAAATACTACTAAAGTGATGCTTGTGCTTCCCTGATTTTTAAACAGGAACAATTTAACTCTTCCTTGATGATTCAGTCATTTATGCAAAGTTCTTCTGGTAAAATTCCTATTTGTCTTTCAAAACTCTGCTCAGAGGTTTTCCTGCCAGGCCCAACCAGCCTGCACCTCTAAGCCCGAACCTCTTTTCTTCCCTTTGCTTGCTCCTTCACGAGCTTCCATTTGTCTTCCCTCCACACTGTAAGTCTATTAAGGGGCAGGCCCACAACTTATGTTTATACCCCCACCACCTGGTCCTTCTCTGGTTCATCCATTCTAAAACCACGAGATTAAGCCCTGCTATGTGCCAGGCACTATGCTGGGCACTGGGCATGAAACCCCAGCTCAAGAAGCTGCATCCTGCTTGAAGAGCCAACACTTACGGGGAGCCCAGTGGACAGTGATATTTGAGTGACATCCTGGGGCAGGTAGGTGCACTGAGCTTCTGCTCCAGCCCGTAAGGCTCCCTGCTAACTGTGCCTTTGGACTTCCTGTATTTTCCTGACTTCCATCTTATCCTCAGGGTCTGACTTCAGCAGGTCCGATGGCTATGTTTACTGACATGTTCCTCTGCCTGTGTTTTATTTTTTTTGAGATGGAATCTCTCTCTGTCAACCAGGCTGCAGGGCAGTGACGCGATCTCAGCCCACTGCAACCTCCGCCTCCCAGGTTCAAGCAACTGTCTGCCTCAGGCTCCTGAGTAGCTGCTATTACAGGCGCCCGGCACCACACCCAGCTAATTTTTGTATTTTTAGTAGAGACGGGGTTTCACCATCTTGGCCAGGCTGGTCTTGAACTCCTGACCTCATGATCCACCCGTCTCAGCCTCCCAAAGTGCTGGGATTACAGGCGTGAGCAACCGCGCCTGGCTGGCCATGTTTTAAAACTCAGAAAACCTGACCCCCTGGTAGACAAAGCATCCTCACTTCATACAAGGAAATGAAGCTTGAATTATAAATATCACCATTGCATTCAGAAAGATTCAGTGCTAGAAGTGACTGTATTCTTTGATTTTTCTTTTTTTTTACCCCCAAGAGATGGGATCTTGCTCTGTCGCCCAGGCTGGAGTGCAGTGGCACCATCATAGCTCACTACAGCCTCAAACTCCTGGGTTCAAGCGATCCTCTCACCTCAGCCTCCTGAGTGGCTGGTGGCTGGGACTACAGACAGTGCCACCACACCAGGCTAATTTTTTTATTTTGTAGAGATGATGTCTTGCTATGCTACCCAGGCTGGTCTCAAATTCCTGGCCTCATGCAATCCTCCCACCTCAGCCTCCCAAAGAGCATGAGCCACCACACCCAGCCTGATTTTTGTTTTCTACAGACAATACAATACGGACAGTGCTTGGTTTTTCCAAGCTGAAGTGCTCCCAAGCTATGGCCTGCACCAGCCCGGTGTTCCTTGGAGATCAAGGCTCCACGGTCTTATGTCATCTTCAGGTTTAAAAAATAAGATCTGTCCTTAGCTCTGAATCTGCTGTCCCAGAGTAGGTGAGCAACTTGGAAGCTCTGGCGTAGATGAGGCTCTGGGGGGCAGTGGAAAGCCAGTGCCTTCATAAACACAGATAGTCATGTGATGGCACCTCAGAAAGTGAAGGGGGCACTTTCACCTGCCTACAAAGTACCCCCGGAACTTTGCTGAACTCTAGAACATACTAGAGAGACAAGTTCATTAACTATCACTTTGCCAAAATCAAGTACCCCTGGGTGTTCACAAGGCACAGCCTGACTTCAATGACTCGAGTACCCACCAATGGGGGCTTCTTCTGGGGAACACAAAGAGGGAACCCTACACTCCCTGGCTATTTCCTCCAAGGGCCCAGCCCTCGAGACAAGAACCAGCGTTCACAGTTTGGATAGAATAAGCCCAGTTAGTTCATCCCTCCAGCTTAGGACTGCTCTGACAAATGTATCTGTGCTTCAAGTGATGGGGCTGGTCCTAGCGAGTCAAACCATAGCTCAGGAAGGGAAATATTAACCCTTACTGATGTAAATTCCATCTTTTTCTTGAGCAAATTTCTTCAATATCTGACTCACTGGCCTTTAATAAAACGATTATAAGACATCACTAACTTAGTTTGGGAAATGATGACAAAGCATCACTGAAATTTTTTCATAAAAACCAGGGAGTAAGTAATAGAAACTCCTACAAGAGCTGTTCTTGACACTGCTTCCTCCCTTGCCTGGTTACGCAGAGCTGGGCCAAACCCTGCTTTATTAGTTTGGAGGTATCTTCCTCTGCTTCCTGCCGGCCAATAACCTGGCCCCTGCCCACCCTCAGAGAAGGGCCAACAGCAGGGGTGGGTCCACTTCATGAGGCTTTAGAATGACCCAGTTACTGACTGAGGGAATCAAAGGTTATTTGGAAATCTTTAAAAGGCTGTTTCCTTTCCCAGCACTGAGCTGTAACGTGATACTGACCTGTCCGGCAGTGTCACAGAGTTGGAGTCTCACGGGCCGCCCATCCACAGACACCACCGCTTAAAAACAAAACCAAAATGACAATCAGGAGGTGTCTTTTAACCCCTTTCGGAATACTAATAGTTTTAGCTTTCACTATCATTCTCACTCCAAACCCCTTTGCTCCTATTTTAGGTCCTCTAATGAATTAAAGACTAGCCAAAAACAAGGAGGCCCTGTGGAGGCATTTTTGTATACAAACCCACGGCTGGCAAGTCACTCCATTACCGTGAACCAGGCAGCAAATCCCTGAACGCTTTGATGGTGACCCTAAAAAGGCCTATGCTTTTCTCCCAGTCCTGGAAGATTTATTTTCCTGTCACACTTGTTTCAAAGGACCTAAAAACAACACTGGGGGTAAATGGGAAGCAACCCTGCAGTTTTAAATCAGTGGAAAACCTCACAAATAATTCTGTTTTCCCTTGGGAAAGGTTCCCCAACTTCAGGGTTTATCATACAATTCTAGTGTGTTTTGAGAACATGTGCAAACACAGGCTGCCCGCATTGTCCTGTTTAAGAAATGAGGGCACTCCTTATCTCTATGTCAGGTCAAAAGGAGGATTAAAAAAGAAAAAAGAAAGCCATGGCCCCCTTTCCACTGGGATCCGGGGACTCGGGGAGTGTGGAGAGGCCTGCAGCAGGACATGTTGTGGAGGTTTCTATTTTAATTAAGCAGTCAGTTTTGTCTCTTTCTACACAACTTTCTAATTGTTTCTAAATATTTATACTAGTCAGCTGCAGGGGTGGGGTGGGGGGAGGGGAAGAAACAATACCCTGCGGTGGGAACCCACCAGTACAGCACCCATTTCTCTAAGGTACCTTTGGGATGAAAGGAAGGTCAGAGAAGCAATTTTTTTTTAAAGAAGCAAGACAGTTAAGTGTTTCATACTAGTTTCTGTGAATTTTAACTTTTTCTTAAATTTCAAAAAGACCTGAATAGCAAGATAGAGAATTCCTTTCTCTTTGTATCTACCAAGGGAAATGGCATCGCACCCGGTACATAGGAGCTTTAAGTAGCTTAAAGGGATCCTGAAAAGATACCAACAATCAGAATCCGAGCCCATGTGGGCAGGGAAGGTGGTGGGGCTCAGAAGAAAGAAATGGTGTTTACTCTTCAGGTTTCATCCAAACCTAAGCCTTCACGAGGGCCGCTCGCGCTTTTTCACTAAATCAAGTGTTTTCCCGGCGTCTCCGCGGCTCTTTAAAGCGGAGACGCCCCTTGTGAGCTGAGCCGCCTAAAAGCAAAGGAGCGACGCTCAGGTAAAGGCACCTGCGCGTCACCTTCTGATTGAAACTCTGCAGCGGCGCCAGCGACGTCGCCCTCAGGAAACTTTGCTCTATGCAACAAACTGACCGGGCACCCTGAACTCAACCTGTTTCACTCCTACTTATCTGTTGCTTAAATTGTGAGATTTTTTTTTTTTTTTTTTTTGGCAAGGCTCTGACTGCCGCTCCGCCCTCCTCTCTCCAAGCCCACTCCGCCGTGGTCCTTTCGTGTTAGCTCCGCGCTTGCCCGGTCCCTGAGACTCAGGAAACGTCCTGCACTCCTCATTTGTCCGGCTTCCCAGCTGGAGCCGCGCCCGGGGCCCTGCAGCCCCCTTGGGAACCTCGCGACCCTCGCGCCACCTTCCTTCCCCTGGGTGGACCGCGGCCACGCGCCCCCGGCCCCGGCCCCCCGGCCAGCTCACCGGAGAAGTTGTCGAAGGCAGTAGGGATGTACTCGGTGGGGTAGCCGTTGGTGGTGTAGCTCACCACCAGGCTCGTCTTGCCCACCGCGCCGTCGCCGACCAGCACGCACTTGACGCCGCGCCCCTCGGCACCCCCCGCACGCCCCCGGCCCCCCGGCTCCCCAGGCCCGCGTCCCCCGCGTCCACCGCGCTCCCGACGCGGCGGCACCGGAGGCGCCTCGCAGCGGTCGGGGAACGCGGGGTCCCCCTGCTGCGGGGGCATCGATCCGCGAGCGCGGGCTTGCGGTCGCGGGCTAGCAGGGCCCGGCCCGACCGCCCCTCCGCCCCGGAGGGTTGCGGTAGGGAGGAGCTGTCACCGACAGCTGCGGGCGCGTCCCCGGCCCTGGAGAGTGGCGGTTCCGGGCCGCACGGCCAGTAGACAAAGGCGGCCAGGGAGGGTCGTGGCTCCGCGCTCCGGCGGCGCCAGCCGCTCTGCCCTGCGCTGTTGGAGGACAGCGGTCCGAGCGCCGTGGATCCCAAGCGCTCTGTCTCCGCCCGGCTTCCCGGCGACACGACGCGTGGGGGGCGGGCAGGCGGGCGGGCTGGCGGGGAGGGAAAAGAGGCGGGTCTGGCCGAGCGGCTCGGTCCCCGCGCCAAGACCACAGCGCCCCCCGCCTGCGCGCCGCGCGCCTGCACCCGCGCCCGAGGCGCCGCCGCGACCAGGCGGGGACTGCGAACACTGGCGCGGGAGGACCTGGAACACACGTTCCGGGGGACCCCGCGCACCCGGTCCGGGAAGCGACGCCCGAAGGAGCCGGGCCAGCCTCCGCAGCCTCCTCCCCAGCTCCCAAGAGGGTGACCACCGCGCGACTGGCCCGGGAGGTTCCGCTTTCTGGCGCCCACGCGAGCCAGGAAGCCTGAGCCGCCTCCTATTCACTCCGTGGAGCCCCCGGCTGGCCACGGCTCCACCCAGGGGGAAAAATGAAGTGTCCTGGAGGCCTGTCCTGCGAATGAGATTGAATTAACAGACAGCTTTTTTCCTTAAGTCTAACTGCAGCTGATCGTGTGATTTTTTCTCATTTTGAAGCAAAAGGATGCCAGCTCCATTGTGAATGCTCCTTTGACTTTGTCTTTCGGCATGCCGTGAACCTTTATACATGTATGCTCCAGAAATTTTTTTATACCCCCAATTCCTTCATTTACTTAAAGGTAATTCGGAGACATTAATATGTCTGAAAAAATATTCCGTTTCCCTTTGATTCATTTCTCTCTCTGCCTTCCTTCTACATGTGGTCAACAGTCTATTCAGAAAAAGGACGCCTCTTAGCCAAGTCAGAATACCAAGAGTCCTGGGGGTGTACAGCGTGGTGTGAGAAGGGCCACATATTATTAATACACATTGATACTAGTGGTAGTAAAAATAACAATAACAAATACTGAACTTTCATAATGTGTCAGATACTGTTGTAAGCACTCTTCAAGAACTAATTCTTTTAATCTTAACATTACTTACAGATGAGAACACCTGAGGCACAGAGATATTAAGTAACGTTTTGGGATTCCACAAGCTAGTAAGTGGCAATGCCAGGATCCAAACCCAAATAGTCTAGCCCCAGAGCCTGAGCTTCTAACCAAAATCCTGGAGGCAAAAATAAGTCAGTATGATAAACGTAATCTTGAACGTATGGCCATGGTCAGAATGCAGAGATGGATTTATCAAGAAGTTAGAAGCTTGAATCCAGGACCCCTGACTTGCAAAGGACACTTTCACATTGGAAGACCTAGCAATGTGTACACGTGGTAATATGTTTCTGTAAATTTTGAAAAAAAAAAAAGTATTTTAATCACCACCAGTTATGTTCACTGTCTTTTTAAACTGTAACTTACCCTCATATTGAGTGACTTTGAAGAGGCCATGAAGATTTTGGGGATCAGCCAAAGAAAGTGAAGTTGGGGAGACCCAAACAGGTTGTTTGGGTGTAATGGGATACAGAATCAGGATGAAGGTGAGATAAGGGGGATGTCAAGGATGCAAAATTTATGACAAATTGAGCATTCAGAGGCAATATCAAAAAACAACAAATTTAGAGGGCCCTTACTCTCAGGGTCAGGCAAGTGCCAATGTTAAGTTTTGAGCCTCAGGTACCTGACTTGCCTCTCCCTCGCCCTGGCTGTGATGACAGGATATATTTATGTGGTTTACAGTTCTCCTATGTAGATATGTTGTTGCTAGCCATCCAGGTATAGGAATGGCTACCACTGACATACCTATGACCCTCTGTGAGAGTCACATTGGTGCCCTTAACTGTCTTACTTTCCCCAACACTAGAAGGGTTCCAGTAGCAAGAGTAGCAGAGCTTGAGATGGGCAGAGCTGGAAGCTAGTCTGGCAATTCTTTCCATCATAAAGCACCTAATATCGGCTGGTGCGGTGGCTCACGCCTGTAATCCCAACACTTTGGGGGGCTGAAGCAGTCAGACCGGTTGAGGCCACGAGTTCGAGACCAGCTTGGCCAACATGGCGAAACCCTGTCTCTACCAAAAATAAAAAAATTAGCCAGGTGTGGTGACTCACACCTGTAATCCAAATACTCCAGAGGCTGAGGTAGGAGGATCACTTGAGCCTGGGAAGTCGAGGCTCCAGTGAGCCCTTGATCAACCAATATACTCTAGCCTGGGCGAGAGTGAGACACTGTCTCAAAAAGAAACAAACAGAAGAAAACACAACATTGTTAGAGAAGGTTTGGTTCTCTCTACTAAACCTGATCAAAACAGAAGTTGTCTGCTGTCAGAAATGTACCTGTACTCTAAATGCAGCAGATACACTTACAAATGCATCATACATTTTTGGAGAAAAATCACATGAAATGAATGATCTGAATTCCCATGTTTGTAAGGACATGAGGCTGTAGTAGTACAACAAAAAGCAAGTTCACCTGTGTGTGAAGTAACTTCCTATTGTTCTTATAGAAAATATCTTACAAAACTGAAGAAGTGATCAAAGGGTATGCAACTGAAAAATGAAAATAATGTCATAGAAGTGTGTCAAGCAGTTTATTAAAATGTCATGTCTTATGTATTTTGTTTAAGTTTATGGTGTTTGTTAGCCTTTTAAAATTTGTAACTTATTGTGATGCATTTCTCACTTTAAACATTTGTTTTTGTATCTAATTTTCTATTCTTAATTTTGTATTTTTTTTTCTTAATGAAGTCTCACAAATGTGATAAGCCTCAGGCCCTACAAAACTTGGCTTTGCCCCTCCATCTGGCCAGCTGTCAGTTTTTGTGTCCTGTGCGTCCCCCTCTTGCTTTTCCCCTTCTCATGCTGAATATCATCCCACGCCCACTCATTTGGGCCCGTTTTTCTGGACACAACTTAGTCAGCTCCCTGCATCCTTATCTAAAATGCCGGGAACTAATGTTTGCCCTATTCATGAGACTCTTCTGTAGGCAACATAGGAAATCAGACCCCACGCCAAACAGTTCGGTATTTCATCCAAGTCCAAAAGCAGAGAGATGACAGAATGCCTACCACTTTACCCCTTTACAGAATGCCTTTACTTTACCCCTTTTTACGTTGAACTGTCCCGCACCCACTCATTTGGGTCCATGTTTCTGGGCTCGACTTAATCAGTCCCCTACAGCCTTATCTAAAATGCTTGGAACTAATGCTACAAGAAGCCCTCCAAGGTGTGTGGGTTCAAGTTGTATGATATATTTGTTTGTTTATTTGCTTATTGTCTGTCTCCTCTTACAAGCTCCATGAAATCAGAAACTTAATGTTGCTCATTCCTATATCCCACACTTAGAAGCACGTGGGGCAAGTAGTAGGTGCTTAATAAATACTTAAGCAGTGGTAAATACGTAAGTGAAAGGAAAACATGTTTTGAACTTGACGGTTCTGCAAAAAAGAAAGAAAGAAAAGGAGAAGAATGTAAAACATGGACTCTCAAAACATGGACAGTTGTATTTTTATGCTTTTATAAAATATTTTTAGAATGAATGAAGGAAATTTGACCACTTCTTGCAGCTATTAATAGAAAACCATGTCTTTGCTCAGTTTTAAGACAAAAAATGCATTACACCTCATGTATTCCCATTTGTTTTTCACCAAGACAGTACAACGCCTTCATTGTGCAGTGGGCCTAGAAAATTCTGAAAACTGGGTGCAGAATTTCCGTTCTTAAGATCTTGTCTCTCTGAGGCCCTCCAGCCCAGCTGTGAGCATTCATCCCCCCTACCTACCCCCAACACCTCCTCCAGGACTTCCAGCAACCCACCCCTGGGTCCCCAACAACATGTCAGAGAAGGTGTCTTCTCCTCGAACTACAGGTCTGTAACCCCTTCCTCCTTCTTCCATGAACTTGCTCTTTCTCCGCTTAGGTGTCACCTCCTCCAAGGATGTTTATTTTTCTGCCTAATTTTCTATACTTAATTTTGTGTTCTTTTTCTTAATGAAGTCCTCAAAATGTGATAAGCTTCAGGCCCGACAAAACTTGGCTTTGCTTCTCCATCTGGCCATCTGTTCGTTTTTGTGTTCCATAGCCTCCCTCTCTTGCTTTACCCCTTTTTATGTTGAACTGTCCCACACCCACTCATTTGGGCCCATCTTTCTGGGCTCAACTGAATCAGTCCCCTACAGCCTTATCTAAAATGCTCAGAACTAACGCTTGCCCTATTCATAAGAATCTTCTACAGGCAACGTAGGAAAGCAGACCTCCACACCAAACAAATTGGTGTTTCATCCAAGTCCAGAAATGTTCCCTGACCCCTTATGTGGATATATTTGTGCTTGTCCCTATCACAGCCCTTATCTAGTGAAATCATCTACTGATTATACAACACCTACCCTTGCTCATAATCCCCTAAAAGGGAGGATCCCCAGTTCACAAAACTCTTCCCCTAGCACAGTATTAATACATTTTCTAGGATTTTTTCCATCAAGTTATTTTAACTGTTCCACTAGCAAATAATTAATAGTGAATTTGTAGTTTTTTACTAAAATGGTAAAAAGAAAAAAAGGTCCTAATAGACTTTCCACTGTGTACATGTCACTTTTGTATCTTTTGATATATTTAAGAAATAAATAAATTTTTATCTGCTCAACATATTCCTTGCCAGGTGTCATTGTCATCATCATATTAAATATAAAGCTGTTTTTCCTGCTATTGATAACATTTCACCATTTACTGAGTACCAAATCAGAACAGCACGGTTTTTTTGGATCTTTCATTTTAGCAGGTCATATAACTCTGTGTGTTCATTCACTCTTTAAATGGTAACCCTTTGCCTTGGACACATTAATCTGATTTCTTTCCTTCAGCAGTGCCCTAGTTTTTTCAATACCCTATAAGAGGACATCAGAAGAATATTTCTCTAGAACTGGAGACTCTAAGCTGGGTTGTCTATTGCCAGCATGGCTGTCTGCTCCCAGAATTTCCTTCTTTGTATGGTTCTCGGCTAAAGTTGTCCGGAGACATGATTCTCAGAATTGAGAAGACTGAAGGGAAGTGGAGGAGGGTCATATGGTCAAACATGCCAGTGGATGGACACAGCGGTGCCCAGCACATCCTCACTAGCCTCCTGCTTTGCAGTGATATCATCTCACTGCTGGCTCTGCTGACCCAGAGCAGCCTTCAGCCCTCACCCAGCCCCTGGGCCCCAAAGAGGCTGCAGTCCCTACACCTCATGCCTCAAGCTTCCCTTCCACAGCCTCCAAGGGCCATATCTGCATAACTTACTATTGGCTTTTCTCCAAGTTCCCACCAGTATCCTGCACAAGGGTTTCAGCTGGTCAGGGTTAGGCACTGTTTCCCTCTGAACTTCCCCAGCAATTCCCAAACTTGTGAAAGCTCTCCTTCCTTAACCCTGTACCTTGGAGTGGCTCTGATTTCCTGACTGGGCCCTGACCAATAGTTTCTTGTTTACCACTGGGGATGTCATCCTAGGAAAAAAAAATGACAAGGAAAATGTCTTGCCATGTTTCACTAGAAAAGATGGGGAAATCATATAAATGTCACCAAACCACCAAATGGGCCACCAGTGGCTCCTTTCAGGAATCACAAACATCAGTTAGTGTCATGGTAAGGGCTCAGACCACATGGTTGGTTGGATGTGCTGATACTAGTTTCCCTGCCTCCAGAAGTCCTTTTATCACCTGCCATCACCTTGTAGATAACTAGAATGGATAAATTAAGCTCTTCCATTGGTATCATGAAAGTTTAAGATGTAAAAATCAATCCTTAATTTTGATTGTAAAAATTATTTCTGAAACTGTTTATGTTGTTTTATACTAGTCAGATTAGGCTGTACTATGCTGCAATAATAAGTGAACTCAAAATTTCAATGTCTAGAAACATAGGAGTTAATTTTTTGGTCATGCAAAATTCACAGCAGATTTAGTAGCTCTCCAAGGCAGCTCCCTTTCAAGTGGAGACTCAGGGATGCAGTCTTCTTGCATCTTGTAACTATGCCACCTGTGACACTCATTTCTGTGTGTGCATACCCTGCATTTCTATACATGAACATGTGCATTCCTGTCTGTATATGTACCCGTGCATTTCTATGAGTGAACACATGGATTTCTGTGGGTGAACAAATGCGTATAATGGCAATTTTATAAGAGCTCAAAACTAAAAACCATATAAATGTCTAAAACAGTAAAATGGATGAGTTAATTTGGTAATTCATGATATACTACTATTCAGTCAAGAAAATGAGTGAACATACAGGAATGAATCTCATCAACTAAATGAGAGGTGAAAGAAATCAGACACAAAGGAGTATAAACTATCTTATTTGATTTATATAAAATTTAGAAATGGACAAAACTTGGCCAGGCACGGTGGCTCATGCTTGTAATCCCAGCACTTTGAGAGGCCCAGGCAGGTGGATCATGAGGTCAGGAGTTCGAGCACAGCCTGGCCAATATGGTGAAACTCCGACTCTACTGAAAATATAAAAATTAGCCCAGCGTGGTGGTGCATACCTGTAGCCCCAGCTACTTGGGAGACTAAGGTAGAAGAATCGCTTGAACCCGGGAGGCAGAGTTTGCAGTGAGGCAAGATCGTGCCACTGCACTCCAGCCTGGGCGACAGAGCGAGACTCTGTCTCCAAAAAAAAAAAAAGAAAAGAAAAGAAATTGACAAAACTCATCAGTGCTAGATGTCAGAGTAATTGGGGGCAATTGTTACATTCAGGAAGGAAAGGGGTCATGGGAAACTTCTGATGTTCAGGCAATTTCTTGATCTGAGTGGTGGTTTTATAGGTGTGCACTGTATAGTAATTATTGGCTATATATTTGTTTCATTCACTTTTGTGAATCATGCTATATTTTTAAATTTTAAAGATTAAACAAATTCAAACATATAAATCATATTAAACAGAACTCATGGTTATTTGCATTCCAAAGAACTGTTTGCTTTAGCTTAGCACAGTGCTAATCACATATTGTAAACTTTTTGAATTAAATAACACTCTAATAAAATTTAAATGTGATTTGAGTACCAAAATCCTATTTATACAAAGCTTTTCCAGGAACATGAAGTACTGCACATCATTTACATCTTTAATATTTATTTTTAATGGGGGTATCATCTTCCACCATGGCTATTTATAAGTGTTTTAATATTTTAACTAACTGAACTGGTTCTGCAGAATTATCACAAGAGATAAATGGCAATTTATATGCATCAGTTCTGGAAGAAAAATGAAAGCACCAGGGAGAGCCCTTAGAGGGATGGCAGGTAGATTTGCCTAGAGGAGAAAGGCTAGACTCGCTGCTAACGTGGAAAACAGATGCTGTTCTAGGCAGGCTGAGCTACACTGGTGGCACCTTTCCTGCATTAGTCTTGGTTTATTTTCCTCTGTTAAATCCCCTTCTCTGGGTCTTCTCAGCTGTTGCAACCCTGCCATTCCTCTTTGATGAGAAAGGCCATCTCCATTCCCTGGGACCTGGAGCTGCTATAGCAATCCCAATTGGTCTTCCCAGCTGTCTGACCCTCCCTTTGCACAGAAAAGCCTCCTTCCCAGACCTTCAGAGAAACTGATTCATTTCCAACTTCCCTCCCCAAACACACATCACAGAAACTTTCCCAAACGTTCCCCAGCTGCCCAAATTCTCAGAGATGATAAGAACTCATTAGAAACCCCTCTTAGCTATTGCAAAACTGTGATCTCCCCTAATTTTTCAGTCACCCTGAAGATAAGAACTAGCCATGTAATCATTTCTCAACCACCATAATCACCCTGGCCAGCAGTTCTAGAATCATGAGACTATCCTACTTCCCTCCAGAAACTGCAGCCCTCTCCCTTTTCTAGCTCTTCCAAGCTGAGCACATGAGCACTCCCCCAGTCCTACAATGGGAAGAAGAAAGGTATTTTCACATATTCTAGTAGTTGTCAAAATTCATTGCTGGGTTTGCAATAACAATATAAGACTCAGAATGAATGTATGGACTTCCAAATGCCATATAAATCTGCTTGTCAGTCTGAGAAGAAACGAGCCTGGGCAACATGGTAAAACCTCGTCTCTACAAAAAAATACAAAAATTAGCTGGGCATGGGGTCATGTGCCTGTGGTCCCAGCTACTCAGGAGGCTGAGGTGGGAGGATTACCTTAACCCAGGAGACAGAGAGGTTGCAGTGAGCTGAGATCGTGCCACTGTACTTCAGCCTGGGCAACAGAGTGAAACACTGTCCCAGAAAAAAAGAGAGAGAGAGAGAAGAAATGAGTGTCTACTGCATCAAGAGGACTGTTTTCTCTATCATATGCATCCCAGAAGAATGTATTGAAAGGTAAATACTTATGCTATGATTGAGATCATTAAAGGAATTTGATTTTAGAAGAGCAGAGGTGTAGTCATTAGCTACATTATTTAATGGACCTATCTGACTCATGAACTTAGTGTGAACAATAGTGATCAACACAGACATGCTTAGAGTGTCAAGGAGTTGACAATTCTTGTAAAAAAGAAGATACCTGTAAAATATCTGTAATGCAAGACAGTGTATGGTGAGGGCAAGGGGATGTGCAAAGTGCAACAGAAAGTCAGAAGATGCCTTAGCACAGACTTCTGGATGGGGATGCAATCAACCCTACTCTGACCAGGTGAGAAGACTTTAGCACAATCTTGGGTCCAAAAAGACCCTCCTCCCCCTCATCTTCCAGGTGATCACAAATCTACAACAAATTATAACCACATTGATTATACATGCATTGTCATATTTAGTCCTCACAAAATCTAAACCTGTGCTATTATTTCCCCAATTTTATAGATTAGAAGATGGCAGCTCAGAGAAATTGAGTTTCCTAACAGAATCAGGACTCAATCTCTAGAGCAGAGATTTTTTTTTTTTTTTTTGAGATGGAGTCTCACTGTCTTGGCCAGGCTGGATTGCAGTGGCACGATCTCAGCTCACTGCAACCTCTGGCTCCCAAGTTCAAGCAATTCTCCTGCCTCAGCTTCCTGAGTAGCTGCGATTACAGGCGCGTGCCACCACGCCTGGCTAATTTTTGTATTTTTAGTACGGACGGGGTTTCACCATGTCGATCAGGCTGAGTCTCGAACTCCTGACCTCATGATCCACCTGCCTCGGCCTCCCAAAGTGCTGGGATTATGGGCTTGAGCCACTGCGCCCGGCCTTAGAGCAGAGATTTTTACCATACCCTATAACCTTTCCATCAAACCATTAGACTTACACAAGACAACAGAGCAATGAAGTTGTTTTAAGAAGTTTGTACTGATAGGCTTTAGCAGCATGGTCACTGGACAGAACAACAGTAGCACCCTTGATCACTGATTCAGTCTGAGGTACACAGTACACATGAGTACGTACGGACCGGCAGTGAAAGACAAAGGAAACACTCCAAGGTTTTCCAGTGTATATTAGGAGAGGGGAGAAAAATAACAGTGTGCATAAATAATAAAACATAAGGAGGAAGGAGAAAAAAAGAGAGAAGAAACCCATGATAATTTGGAAGTTTTTAAAAGTTTTTAAAACTCCTCCTATTAGCTATTATTTATATTTATTAAGATAGTAAGAAGATTGTAAAGGTGACCTTAAGTAATTAAGAAGTAGAACATTTATCATACTCCATTGAAAGATCATTTTTATGCATGTGCCTGCTGATTTGAAATCATTTTTTTATCTACTCACTAAAGTAATTCTGTGAAGATTTATTGAGTCCCTTTATTAACTCCAAGACTCGTTAAACAATCAACTACTTTATGTTTAAAATTTGTTTTCTCCAATTCTAAAATTTTATTAATTCAGATGGCTTTGTAATTGGTCAAAATTTGAAAGTCTTAAATTGCATTAAAAATATTTTATAGTTGTGGCTGTCTATAGTCATGGATGGCAGCATCCTTAGGATTTCATTAGGCAAAGACCATGGAAAGGCCTGTCTAGATCTGAAGATGCTGCCATCGTTCTGCCCACGGTGCTCAGCCCCTGGGGAAGTGCTCTGTTCTTTGGCACTCTCACAGCCTTTGGATGGCGTCCCTTGTTGCTGCTCTAATGGGCTCTGTGAGCCACAGAGGCTCAAGGGAGATGCTCAGGGTTGCTCATCACTAGTCCCTTTGAGAGGCTGCAGAAGCTCAGGGCCACAGCCCCCAGGATTGCAGCATCCACACGGCCATCCGTGTTCTGGAACTGAATCCCAGACCTCTGTACCTCTAAAGGACAGCAGGAAATGAGCTTTGGGAACCACTGAGTAAAAAATTCCTCTGGGCTATTCCTTCCTAGGAATATAGAGGAAGCCCAAATGTTCTTGGGCTCAAGTTCCTGTAAATTTTGAAACTCTGCCCTTTGGGACTCCAGGGTGCAGAGTGAATTCCTGCACATATTCCAAGAAGACAACTTCAAATTAATTAATCTGAAATAACTCAGAAGATGAGTATGAACAGCAGGAAGGATTTTGTTGAATAAAAAATACCAATTTTCTTTTCCTTTTGTTCCTATTACTGTAGTCTTGACAGAAAAATAAAATAAAATAAATAAATGTCAGAGAAAGACTGCCAGGCAAGAAAGAAGTCAAGGACAAATAAGTGACTTTGTTCTGTTCTGGGAAAGAAAATGAAGCAGATCAATTTGTGTTGAAGGCCTTCTGTGTATCAGTGGGTGTCTTTACTATCAATGGGTGTCTTTACTATCTATAAGGGTGGAGACTCACATAATGAAAGAGCACCCATGCCACACCTATTTAGCATAAGGAAAACCTTCACCTTACTATAGGCCAGAACTTCAAAAGCAACACTTACTGGATACAACCTTTTCAGGGTACAAAATTTCAATTAGGCAGGAGGAATAAGTTTTGGAGATCTATCATACAGCTTGGTGACTATAGTTAATAATCATGTATTGTATACTTGAAAATGGCTAAAAGAGTAGCTCTTAAATGTTCTCACCTCGCTGGGCCTGGTGACTCATGCCTGTAATTCCAGCACTTTGGGAGGCTGAGGTGGGAGGATCACTTGAGCCCATGAGTTGGGGACTAGCCAAGGCAACATAGCAAGACTCCATCTCTACAAAAAAAATTCTTACCAAAAAGAAAGATAAGTATGTGAGGTGATGAGTATGTTAATTAGCTTGACAATAATGATTGTGGTAATCATGTCATTTGTAAACATATATCAAGCCATTGCATTGTACATTATAAATAGATAGGATTTTTTATTTATCAGTTATACCTGAATAAATCTGGGGGGGAACACAAGAAATTTTTCAAGCCACTATGGGTTTACCCTTTCTTCTCAGACAGTAGGACTTTTCCAACTAAATAAGATAGATTGTGTAGCAGGATTTGCATTGATTTGCTCATTCAGCAAATATTTATTAAGCACCCACTACATGTGAGGCCGAGAGTAGTTGGGGATACGTCAGTGAGCACACAGACACTCCACGAAGCTGATGTTTCAGTGCAACACTCAAAATAAATAAATGATGTAACATGTTCCAGGATGACTGTCACAGAGACGAAAAAAAACAGGCAGGAAGGTGCACATGGAAGGCCTCATGCAGGCCATATTTGAGCAAAGACTTTGAAAGATGTAAGAGAGCAAGTCCCGTGGATGTCTAAGAAACAGCGTTCCAGGCAAATGGACCATCAAGGGCAAAAACAGCAATTGACTGTCTCCGTGTTGGAGAAGCAGCAAGGAGCCTAGTGAACCTAAGGCAGGAGGTGAGGCCATAGAAGAAAGGAAAAAAGGCAAAAATACATGTAGGTCAACGTAAAGATGGTGTAAATTCTGCAGAAGCCTGGGAGCCATTGGAATATGTGGTAGGAGTTATTAAGAAATTATTTCAGGCAGAAAGGAAAAGTTTTCATTTCTTTTACGGCAGCTCCAAAGACCTTTTTTGTAAAGGCCCCACTCGTAAAGCCCCGGCTCTTAGCTCTTAGAGCCTGACGGCAACCTTTGATATGCAAATGCAGGCCATTAGAAACTGGGTCCACCCAAACATGGCAATTCCCACAGCCTCCTTGCCCTTGCCCCACATGTGCCTGGCAACATGGCCACCCCCACATATCCTCACGTGTGTAGAACATCATGGTGCCCTGCATTTGCATATTAAAAGACTAGGGGAGGAGGGCTAGTTTCTTCAGGGGCTGCGTGAATGACATGCCGGGTCAAACCAACCCTGAGCCCTATGCAAATCAGACACTGCTTCCTCCAGCCTCTGTATATACCTGGCTGGTTTCCACCCCACTTGGGGTCTCCTCTCCTGGCTTTGGAGCCCCCTCCCTCTGTCTCTGTACTTCTTCCTTCTGTCTTCCTTCTTTCTTGCCTATTAAACCCTCCACTCCTTAAAACCACTCCAAGAGTGTTCATGTCATTTTATCGAAACTGGCATGAGGACCAAGAACACTGGTGTTCCTCCACTCATCGGAGTGGTATCAAATAGAGCTGAGTAGTAGCATCATCTAACTCAGGCTGCCAGATAGAAAGAGATAACTAGGGAGAGGGGAATGGGGAGAGGGGCTGGGACCAGGAGTAGCAGAGGCGGTGGTGCAAAGAGGTTGGGTTTTGAATATGCCTTTAAGGTAGACGCAGCATGATCTACCTGGAGCATTGGGTCTTGAGTTTACATGTATAAGAGAAGGCCGGGGCCGGGAATGGTGGCTCATGCCTGTAATCCCAGCACTTTGGGAGGCCGAGGCGGGCAGATCACGAAGTCAGGAGATCGAGACCATCCTGGCCAACGTGGTGAAACCCCGTCTCTACCAAAAATAGAAAAATTAGCCAGGCTTGGTGGCACATGCCTGTAGTCTCAGCTACTGGGTAGGCTGAGGCAGGAGAATCGCTTGAACCTGGGAGGCAGAGGTTGCAGTGAGCTGAGATCGCGCCACTGCACTCCGGCCTGCTGATAGAGCGAGACTCCATCTCAAAAAAAAAAAAAGGAGGTCAGGATAACTCCATGGATGGTCTGACAAACCGAACTTATCATTGACTGAGAAAAGGAAGATTCCAGCAAATGGCAGGTTTGGGGAGAAAGATTAGGAATTCAGTTTGTACATACGAAGTTTGAGTTGCCTGGGAGATGTCCAAGAGGAAATATTGGGCCGGCAATTGAACGTACAACTCTGGAGTTCCAAGGGAGGTGCTGGTGAGAGGTGTAAGTTCAGAGTTTCATCAGCAACGAAGGATGAGAGGGCCTGGGAGGGGGTGAAGACCAAGGAAAGAAGAGGCCCAAAGACTGAGCTCTGAGGACTCCCTTGTTAAAGGAAAAGAACAGACATTTTAAGAGCTAGAAAGTATTAAGTAAAGCCAAATATCAGACACTGGGAAGGAAGAAATAGAAAAGCTATCTGCCAAAAACTCTGCCTATAGGAATAAGAGCTTATCTATACAGGTACCTAGCACCTTACCACAGTTAGCCATGTACCCCATCTGAACTTGAAACAATTCTTGTTTCCTTTGTTTACAGTGTGGCCAGTAAAAAATCTGACATGGCACTGTAGCCACCCTATTGTAAGGGCACCAGGCTCTGCCTATTTGCCAAAGAATTGTTTCGTTAGTTTCTGGTGCTGGGTTGGATTTCAGTGAAAGAAGTCGCAACTACGGTGGAAAACAAAGGCCGGGTGTGGTGGCTCACGCCTGTAATCCCAGCAATTTGGGAGGCTGAGGCAGGTGGATCACCTGAGGTCAGGGTTCGAGGCCAGCCTGGCCAACATGGTGAAGCCCCATCTCTACTAAAAATACAAAATACAAAATTAGTGCATGCCTGTAATCCCAGCTACTTAGGAGGCTGAGGGAGGAGAATCTCTTGAACCCGGGTGGCGGAGGTTGCAGTGAGCCGAGATCCCGCCATTGCCCTCCAGCTTGGGCAACCAGAGCGAAACTCCGTCTCAAGACAAAACAAAACAAAACCAAAGTCTGGGTAGTCATGGGGTTGTGTCCTCAGGACACAGCTCTGAACCAAACAGTCCGGTTTTCTTTGTCCAGCACACCCACTGGATCTGGTTGTGTCGGTAAACAGACTGCCTGGAGTTAGTTTTGCCTGATAAGGCGCACGTGTGTTCCAAGCTTACTAGAACAAAAGGGACAAGGGCTTGGCTTTGACTAATAATGAAACTGTAGTCATCTATTTCCTTTTAAAAAATATTAAAATATCTTGTTTCTGCTTTAGAAAGAAAAATATTCTCGAGTCCTCTAAATCATGAGTGAAGCTCTTGTAGTTACTGTTTCAAAAGACAAGGCGACGAATTCTATTTTTTATTTTTATTTTTTGCGATGGAATCTGTGTTGCCCAGGCTGGAGTGCGGTGGCACCATCTCGGCTCACTGCAACCTTCGCCTCCCAGGTTCAAGTGATTCTCCTGCTTCAGCCTCCCGAGTGGCTGGGATTACAGGCACCTGCCACCACGCCAGGCTAATTTTTCTATTTTTAGTAGAGACAGG
This sequence comes from Homo sapiens, assembly GCF_000001405.40. Lineage (NCBI taxonomy): Eukaryota > Metazoa > Chordata > Mammalia > Primates > Hominidae > Homo > Homo sapiens. Next base: position 228,721,127 of record NC_000001.11, on the reverse strand, counting down.
GTTTCACCATGTTGGCCAGGCTGGTCTCAAACTCCTGACCTCAAGTGATCCACCCACCTAGACCTCCCAAAGTGCTGGGATTACAGGCGTGAGCCACCGTGCCCCCAAGGCGATAAATTCTAAGCCAACAGTGGGAGTTCAGAGGCCAGAAATGAGCAGGGAGGCAACTGCTGTGCAAACCTGGGAAGGCTGTGGAGATTTCTTTAGGGGAAAGCGCTGGTTAATATTTATTATTTCCCTGGAACATCTGGTAGGGGTGCGGGGCCAGGGGTGGGAGATGACTTCGTGGTCAGAGGGGCCTACATGTGATCCTGATAGTGCCACCTGCCTGTGCAAGTCATTTTATTTATCTGACCTCAAATCCCCTCATCTGTAAAATTAGTTTGCTAGGGCCACAGTAACAAAGCACTGTAGATTGGGTGGTTCTTAAACCACAGAAATTTATTTTCTCACAGTTTTGGAGTCCAGAATTCTGAGATCAGTATTTCGGCAGGGCTGGTTTCTCCTGAGGCCTCTGTCCTTGTCTTCATCTTCTTCTCACGTCTTCACAGGGTCCTTCCTTTGTATGTGTCTGTGTGCTAGTTTCCTCTTCTCATGAGGACACCAGTCATATTGGATCAGGGCCCACCCTAATGACCATTTTAACTGCCTCTTTAAAAACACTGTTTCCAAATAAAGTCACATTCTGAGGTATTGGGGGTTAGGACTTCAACATATGAATTTTGGGGAGACAAAATTTATATATTTTGGATATATGAATTCAAATTTCAGCTCATAACCATGTAGATAATCTTACTTGTACTTCTTCTATGCTTATGCTATGATAGTATGTATTATGTATGGAAAATTACATGATAATCAATTTTCTGTTGTTTTAAAATGTTTGTTGTTTGTACACACACAAAAAACTGTGCTGAAGTGCCCATAATCTAATAGGAGTCCTTTTTTTTCTTTTAATTTTCTGTAGAGACGGGGTCTCGCTATGTTGCCCAGGCTGGTATCAAACTCCTGGCCTCAAGTGATCCTCCTGCTTTAGCCTCCAAAGTTGCTCGGATTATGGACATGAGCCACCTTGCCTGGCTTCTAATAGGAATTCTTATGATTATACTGTGAGACCAAATATAAATGTTCATAAAAGGGTGCTTATGTCTAACTTTTTTAAAAGATACGGCGATATTTTAATGTAATTTTCTTGGATTATTTTAGGTCTGCTTGGGAGCAATGATAGTATTCTCAAAAGAAGTAATAACCAGTGCAGGTCAGGAGAGAAAGCTACTGAATTAAGAAAAGATAAATTATTTAAAGGTAAATCAAAAGGACTGGCCAACCTGAATTCAGTTGCAGTTTTATCATTTTTTTTGTTGTTGTTGTTTGCTTGTATGTTTTTTGTTTTGTTTTAAGACAGAGTCATGTTCTGTCGCCCGGGCTGGAGTGCAGTGGTGTGATCCCAGCTCACTGCAAACTCCACCCCCAGGGTTCAAGTGATCCTCCCTCCTTAGCCTCCCAAGTAGCTGGGATTACAAGTGTGCACCACCATGCCCGGCTAATTTTTATATTTTTAGTAGAGGTGGGGTTTCACCATGTTGGCCAGGCTGGTCTCGAACTCCAGACCTCAAGTGATTCACCAACCTCAGCTTTCCAAAGTGCGGGGACTACAGGCGTGAGCCACCACACCCAGCCCAATTATTAATTGTGTGATTTTGAGCCTCAGTAAATATTAGTTCCCTTTTCCTTGATTAGTGTGATAATATACTCCAGAAACAGAATAGTGTGCTAATGACTTTTGGAAAACACACGATTTTATAAATTGAAAATCCAACAGTTTTTATTGTTTCTTTAGAGAATCAAGGCACAAAGTAAATGATCAATAAACATTGGATGAATGCATGGATTGATGAATACATGGATTGATCAACCAATGGATAGATAGGAAAGCAAAATGATACAGGAATATAGAAGGATGTTTTTCTAAGTCTCACTTGATCTGAACTGTAACCAAATATTGACATGGCTGGTGAAGCCATCAGGATACTCCACTCCTCCTCCTTCTACTCTCATATACCCCCTCCAACATAGGTGCTGTAGAATAGATGCCATTAAAGGGCTTTCTAAAATTAAATTTCAAACCTTTTAGACGATATATTCTGTTTTAAAGCCATACTTCCTTTTGATCTCTCAACTGGCTGATTTGAGTTGGTGCTGACACCAGATTTAGTTCACTCCCTCTCAAAACCTGCTTCCCTGCCTAGTAAGAGATGCACTCCCTCCTGCAGTGAGCATCCAGGGTCACCCGCAGTGGACATTCCCAGTTCATGTTCTGGCGGAAGTGTTTATAGCAGTCTACAACCAACCTGGTCCTCCTGGTTCACACCTTAGACTCTAGGCTTCTGGATGAGAAAGACAGTTTTCTAAGTTCTCTCACATAGTCTGCATCTGAGCTTTAAACCACCTTGTACTTATTCTGCATATGCTTCCCTCCTTTCAGAAAGTTCCCTAAGACTCTGGGCCTCTACTTGTCTAATACTTGTTTCAACCCATTTCTTTATCCTGTTGATAAAGGCAGTTTTGATGCTTACTGAAGCTCAGCTTTTTCTACACTCTTCTAGACTGGCAAAGGGCATATCTAAGACAGCCCCAATAATCCTGCCTCCTGGAATTCATGAGTCTCATGAGTCAGAACCACCCAATTAAACTGCTCCCCAATTCCTAACTCACATAAACTTGTTGTTTTCAGCCATTATATTCTGGGCTAATTTTTTAGGTGGCAATAGATAACTAATATACTTCCCAAGCTGTCCAAACCTTAATTGTAGATTCCATCTGTCCTTAAAACTTATTTGCATCATCCTACCATCTTCCCAGCATGGCTACAAGCAAACTTCTTGATTCTCCCTATTTCAAAGCTGTTCTTTCTCCTAAGCCCATTCACTGGAAAGCAATGGATGCATCTTTTTTGGAGGACGTAGGGGAACTCAGGGTATCACCACTTCCTGTCACCTCCCCAGGTTCTCATTATGATCTCTAATTTAAGTGTCCCCAAGGAAATGGTCTTTTGGAATCCTATTTTTAAATACTGAGTTATCTATCTTTACTATGTAGAATAAGAACAGACATAATGTTCTCAAAGGAGGTCAGCCCAGATGAAATGATTGATACATATGTCCTATCCTTTATATTCAGACATGACACTACCCTGCTGGTCCAATGTGTTAATGGAGGGCATGGAATTACCCGAATTTTTTATTGTGTCCAGTTCTTCTGATCTTGAATTAACTTTTTAAATGACTGGCTGGATTCATGGGAGCTGTCCATGGAACAGTTCCTGTGTCCAGAAACACATAACTGGATTAGGTTGAGAAGGAAGTAGGGCGCCACTCTCATTAACTGAAATGACTGGCCACCAATAAAATATCTGTTTATGGTAAGATCATTCCACTAAAGCTGACTCTCAACTTTTTCCTACATCAAGATGTCAGAGAGCATGCCTCCGGCATAACTCAGTAACAGTATTTCACCTTGGCATTGATGTTTTGTAATGATGAGGTAAGTTGGAGTGGTAAGTGATAAATATGGCTTTCTCCTCCCCATCCTACCTATCCCTCTCCAGAGTAGAACTAAACATATTCTAAGGAGGTGTGTGTAGATCACAAATTACTTAGATATTCTCCCTAACATCTGAGAATGTTTACACTAAAGTGATACTAACATACCACAGGGCCCAAGAGGATGAGAGGTCATTTCAGTTCTAGAGAATCTGTTGCTTATGAATAGTTTGTGTTATAAGACTTTCTGGCTTTATCCTTGTAAAATGCTTTGTACTTCTTGGTAGCCAGGAGATTGATGCATGATGTTATTACAGAAGCAAACAGAGCAGTTCCAGGCATCCATTCAAAGTAGATATATCAAATAGGCATTTTGGACAGTTTGAAAGATCTCAAATTCTTTGTTCTTCCAAAAATCCTCCCAGTGAAAGGAAATGCTTTTGTTTCAGTGGCCCGAAAAGACTAACTCTTGACTTCAGTTCCTTCCAGCCCTGTCATCTGCACTGATAGCAAGGCCTCACCACAGCCTTCCTAATGGACAGCAGCCAGTGTCATTTCAGGATGCCCACAAGAGTGCCACCTGGTTCCAAACTTTCTAATCCCTGGAGAGGAAAATAAAAATGAACTCTCTTTGTCAAAGGTGAAAATGAGAACTGGAATTTTTCCTGAATAGGAAATGAAGTGCTCTCTATTTCTTAGTGACAGTTCGTCATGATGGATTTCAGACTGTGCCTGGGTGAGAAAAAATTCATAGTCAAACTGAAAAAAACATATTTTTTGATGCGTGATTGTGACCAGTTTCCAATAATCTGGAATATACATACATATACACACACATGTGTGTGTATATGTATATATACACACACACATAACATACATAAAATAAAATAATAAATACAGACAGATGTAGATTCATTTAATATATACTTACTGAATGTCAACTATGTTGTGACCACTGTAATAAGTGCTGGGATTTGAACAGTACACAAAACAAACACCATCCATTTTCTCATGAAGCTTATAGGTGATAAGCAGACGATATTAAACTATAATGTGTGTAAAATGTTAGGAAAGGACAATAAATGGTGATGGTGAGCTGCCTGAGGGAAGTCCCTTGCTTTATTTTCACAACTTCTTCCTCAGTACTTGGAATCATGCCTGGCACATCATAGGAACTTAACATATATAGAATGATTTAATGAGTGTATATATTAATTATGAGAAAGATAAGACAGAGACAACTTGAGTTGTGGGATGCCACAGTGGACCCCAGTGGGAAAGATAAGCAGGAATTATCCACAGGAAGGGGGCAAGGTGTGGGGAAGCATTCCAGAGAGAAAGTAAAGCGGGCTTTTTTAAAACAATGTCCACCTGGAGTGGTGGCTGACGCCTGTAATCCCAACACTTTGGAAGACCAATGCAGGAGGATCGCTTGAGCCTAGGAGTTCAAGACCACCCTGGGCAACAAAGCAAGGCCCCTATATTTACAAAAAAGATTTTTGTTAATGAGCTGAGTGTGGTGGTGCACACCTGTAGTCCCAGCTACTTGGGAGTCTGCTGTGGGAAGATTGCTTGAGCCTAAGATGTTGACTGCAGTGAATCATGATCATGCCACTGCACTCCAGGCTGAGTGACAGAGTGAGACCTTGTCTCAAAAAAAAAAAAAAAAAGTTCATACTTTTTAAAACTAAAAGTCACAAATCACAATGAAGCTATTTCTATCATGAATCACATCAAATAATGCAAAAAAAAATCCACCACAATTATAAAATAATAATCACAAGAGATGCCAAGAAACAGATAAAAACACATTACTAATGGGAGATTAGTAATTCCCCCTGGGAATAAGACAGAGCTAGTGAACTAAAATGAAGATATAGAACTAAAATGAAGATATAGAAGAACTAAACACTATAATCAATACGGTACATCTTAAGAATGTATATGAAAGTTTTCAGCCTGACAATAGAAAATACAATTTCTTCTCAAGGTACAAGGATCATTCCCAAAATTGATTATATGTCAGGTCATAAAGAAAATATCAGTAAGTTCCATAAAGTATAAATATTACCGAATATTCTACCAATATTACCAAATATTCCATCAAAACAAATTTTTGTTCACAGTGTAATAAAACTAGAAATTATTGACAACAAAAGCAGCAAAAAAAGCCCATTTCACCTAGAAATGTAAAAGCTTTCTCTAAGGACTCTTGGATGAAAAGAGAAAGATAAAATGAAATTATAAAATTTCTAAAACATATTGATAATTAAAACACAGTGTATCAGAATATATGAGATATTTGAAATATGATTATTTAAAGCAGTAACCATAGGGAAATTCATAGCCTTAATCACATTTACCAATAAAAATCAAAGATTTTAAATAAATGAATTAAATTCCCAGCTCAGAAAGCCAGAAAAAAAAAGAAAGAAAACACAACAAAAGAAAAATTGAAGCTAAAAGAAATTAGTGTGACAGGAAAAAAAAAATAGATCTAGTTAGATCTATTTCAAATCAAATTCCTGGTGTTTAAAGTTAATTGGCCAGGCGCGGTGGCTCACGCCTGTAATCCCAGCACTTTGGGAGGCTGAGGCAGGCAGATCACGAAGTCAGGAGTTTGAGACCAGCTTGGCCAACATAGTGAAATCCCGTCTCTTCTAAAAATACAAAAATTAGCCAGGTGTGGTGGCATGTGCCTGTAGTCTCAGCTACTCAGGAGGCTGAGGCAGAAGAATCGCTTGAACCCGGGAGGCGGAGGTTGCAGTGAGCTGAGACCACGCCATTGCACTCCAGCCTGGGTGACAGAGTGAGACTCCATCTCAAAAAAAAAAAAAAAAAAAAAGATAATTAACAAAATAAACAAGCCATTAGCTAACTTAAGAAAAAAAAGAAGAAGGAATTCAAAAATACAAAATAAGAAATAAGGAGAAATAACTATTGAAACAAGAGAAAATAAATCACAAGAGGCTATTTTGAAAACTGTGCAAATAAATTTGAAAAATTAGGTGAAATGGATAACGTCCTGAGGAAATACAGTTAGCCAAAATTGACTTGTTGAAATTTACATAGCTTAAACAGATTAGTATCTATAGAATATGTGGAGGAAGTTATCAAGGAACTATCCTCCAAAATGCACGAGACCTAGATCATTTCAGAGAGAAATTCTACCAAAACTTCAAAGATAAGGTAATCTCTACATTGTTCCGGAGCAAATGAAGGATATTTTCCTAATTATTTTTGTGAAGCAAGTATAATATTGATTCCTGAACTTGTTACAGAGCAGAAAAAAATAAAATTACAAACCAATATTATGTATGAAAATTGATGCAAAATTTTAAAATAAACTGTTTATAAACAGAATTCAACACCGCATTAAGAAAATAATACACCATGGCCAAGTGGCAATTATTCCAGCAATTCAAAGTTGATTTGCTGAAAACCCAGCAAATTAGGAATATTAGGAAACCCATTAATGCAATTAATACACCATATTAGTAGATTTGAGGAGAAAAATCATGTAATTGTCTCCATAGAGGCTATAAAACCTTTTATAATATTTAACATCTTCTGAGAGTACAAAAAACTCAAACTGGTCTTCCTCCACTCTCATACTACAATCAACACAGAAGACTTCCATGACCAAATGTGTGGGGATTTCTCCACACAGCAAGCAAGCAATCAAATCTACAGCAGACACAAGCTGAGTATGCTTCAATTCAGTTCTAACAGCATCCACCTGGAGATAGGGTCAGATCCCACAGTTGGGTCAGTTCTATAAGACTGCTCCCACTTCCAATGCCAGTAGCAAGCCCCAGGTTGTTTTGCCCATGCTTCTAACTGACTGACTATAAAACAGGCATCGTATGACCTCTCCTTGGGTTTGATTAATTTGCTAGAGTGGCTCATAGAACTTACTTATGTTTTTCCAGTTTATTATAAAGAATATTACAGGCTGGGCGTGGTGGCTCACACCTGTAAATCCCAGCACTTTGGGAGGCCGAGGTGGGAGGATTGCTTGAGGCCAACAGTTTGAGATCAGCCTAGACAACATAGTGAGAACCCCTATCTCTACAAAAAGTAGAAATAAAAAAATTAGCCGAGTGTGTTGGTGCATGCCAAAAACAAAAAAAGGATAGTACAAAGAATTACAGAATGGCAAGGGGAGCAGAGCTTCCATGCCTTCCCTGGGCACTGAAACCGCCACATATTCAGCTATCCACAAGATATCTGAACCCAGTCCCTTTGGAGTTTTATGGAGGCTTTATTACATAGGCATGATTGATTAAACCACTGGCCACTGGTGATCAACTCAACCTTCAGCATCTCCCCTCCCTGGAGATTGGGCAGTGGGGCTGAAAATCCCAACTCTCTAATCCTGCATTGGTCTTTTTGGTGACCAGCCCCCACCTGAAGCTACCTAGGAGTTGCCTGCCATCAGTCAACCCAATAGCATAAAAAAGACACATCACTTTGGAAATTCCAAGAATTTTAGAAGTTGTATGCCAGGAAATGGGTCAAACACCAAATATGTACCTTAAAATATCACAACATTCATCATCCATTCCTGGTTAAAAAAAAAAGGAAGAAAAAAGAAATTAATCGATACCTTTATATATATATAGTCAGACTCAGATATCCGACTAGGTCAGGCAGACCCTGGCAGTATATGGCAACATTGCAGGAGATGCAAACTCCAGCTTTGGGTATTTTATTTTATTTTATTTTATTTTATTTTATTTTATTTTATTTTATTTATTTATTTATTTATTATTATTATACTTTAAGTTTTAGGGTACATGTGCACAATGTGCAGGTTAGTTACATATGTATGCATGTGCCATGGTGGTGCGCTGCACCCACTAACTCGTCATCTAGCATTAGGTATATCTCCCAATGCTATCCCTCCCCCCTCCCCCCACCCTACAACAGTCCCCAGAGTGTGATGTTCCCCTTCCTGTGTCCATGTGTTCTCATTGTTCAACTCCCACCCATGAGTGAGAATATGCGGTTTTTGGTTTTTTGTTCTTGCGATAGTTTACTGAGAATGATGATTTCCAATTTCATGCATGTCCCTACAAAGGACATGAACTCATCATTTTGTATGGCTGAATAGTATTCCATGGTGTATATGTGCCACATTTTCTTAATCCAGTCTATCATTGTTGGACGTGTGGGTTGGTTCCAAGTCTTTGCTATTGTGAATAATGCCGCAATAAACATACATGTGCATGTGTCTTTATAGCAGCATGATTTATAGTCCTTTGGGTATATACCCAGTAATGGGATGGCTGGGTCAAATGGTATTTCTAGTTCTAGATCCCTGAGGAATCGCCACACTGACTTCCACAATGGTTGAACTAGTTTACAGTCCCACCAACAGTGTAAAAGTGTTCCTATTTCTCCATATCCTCTCCAGCACCTGTTATTTCCTGACTTTTTAATGATTGCCATTCTAACTGGTGTGAAATGGTATCTCATTGTGGTTTTGATTTGCATTTCTCTGATGGCCAGTGATGGTGAGCATTTTTTCATGTGTTTTTTGGCTGCATAAATGTCTTCTTTTGAGAAGTGTCTGTTCATGTCCTTTGCCCACTTTTTGATGGGGTTGTTTGTTTTTTTCTTGTAAATTTGTTTGAGTTCATTGTAGATTCTGGATATTAGCCCTTTGTCAGATGAGTAGGTTGTGAAAATTTTCTCCCATTTTGTAGGTTGCCTGTTCACTCTGATGGTAGTTTCTTTTGCTGTGCAGAAGCTCTTTAGTTTAATTAGATCCCATTTGTCAATTTTGGCTTTTGTTGCCATTGCTTTTGGTGTTTTAGACATGAAGTCCTTGCCCATGCCTATGTCCTGAATGGTAATGCCTAGGTTTTCTTCTAGGGTTTTTATGGTTTTAGGTCTAACGTTTAAGTCTTTAACCCATCTTGAATTAATTTTTGTATAAGGTGTAAGGAAAGGATCCAGTTTCAGCTTTCTACATATGGCTAGCCAGTTTTCCCAGCACCATTTATTAAATAGGGAATCCTTTCCCCATTGCTTGTTTTTGTCAGGTTTGTCACAGATCAGATAGTTGTAGATATGCGGCGTTATTTCTGAGGGCTCTGTTCTGTTCCATTGATCTATATCTCTGTTTTGGTACCAGTACCATGCTTTTTTGGTTATTGTAGCCTTGTAGTATAGTTTGAAGTCAAGTAGTGTGACGCCTCCAGCTTTGTTCTTTTGGCTTAGGATTGACTTGGCGATGCGGGCTCTTTTTTGGTTCCATATGAACTTTAAAGTAGTTTTTTCCAATTCTGTGAAGAAAGTCATTGGTAGCTTGATGGGGATGGCACTGAATCTGTAAATTACCTTGGGCAGTATGGCCATTTTCACGATATTGATTCTTCCTACCCATGAGCATGGAATGTTCTTCCATTTGTTTGTATCCTCTTTTATTTCCTTGAGCAGTGGTTTTTAGTTCTCCTTGAAGAGGTCCTTCACATCCCTTGTAAGTTGGATTTCTAGGTATTTTATTCTCTTTGAAGCAATTGTGAATGGGAGTTCACTCATGATTTGGCTCTCTGTTTGTCTGTTGGTGTATAAGAATGCTTGTGATTTTTGTACATTGATTTTGTATCCTGAGACTTTGCTGAAGTTGCTTATCAGCTTAAGGAGATTTTGGGCTGAGACAATGGGGTTTTCTAGATATACAATCATGTCGTCTGCAAACAGGTACAATTTGACTTCCTCTTTTCCTAATTGAATGCCCTTTATTTCCTTCTCCTGCCTCATTGCCCTGGCCAGAACTTCCAACACTATGTTGAATAGGAGTGGTGAGAGAGGGCATCCCTGTCTTGTGCCAGTTTTCAAAGGGAATGCTTCCAGTTTTTGCCCATTCAGTATGATATTGGCTGTGGGTTTGTCATAGATAGCTCTTATTATTTTGAGATATGTCCCATCAATACCTAATTTATTGAGAGTTTTTAGCATGAAGGGTTGTTGAATTTTGTCAAAGGCCTTTTCTGCATCTGTTGAGATAATCATGTGGTTTTTATCTTTGGTTCTGTTTATATGCTGGATTACATTTATTGATTTGCGTATATTGAACCAGGCTTGCATCCCAGGGATGAAGCCCACTTGATCATGGTGGATAAGCTTTTTGATGTGCTGCTGGATTCAGTTTGCCAGTATTTTATTGAGGATTTTTGCATCAATGTTCATCAAGGATATTGGTCTAAAATTCTCTTTTTTGGTTGTGTCTCTGCCCGGCTTTGGTATCAGGATGATGCTGGCCTCATAAAATGAGTTAGGGAGGATTTACTCTTTTTCTATTGAGTGGAATAGTTTCAAAAGGAATGGTACCAGTTCCTCCTTGTACCTGTGGTAGAATTTGGCTGTGAATCCATCTGGTCCTGGACTCTTTTTGGTTGGTAAGCTATTGATTATTGCCACAATTTCAGCTCCTATTATTGGTCTATTCAGAGATTCAACTTCTTCCTGGTTTAGTCCTGGGAGAGTGTATATGTCAAGGAATTTATCCATTTCTTCTAGATTTTCTAGTTTATTTGCATAGAGGTGTTTGTAGTATTCTCTTATGGTAGTTTGTATTTCTGTGGAATTGGTGGTGATATCCCCTTTATCATTTTTTATTGCTCCTATTTGATTCTTCTCTCTTTTTTTCTTTATTAGTCTTGCTAGCGGTCTATCAATTTTGTTGATCCTTTCAAAAAACCAGCTCCTGGATTCGTTAATTTTTTGAAGGGTTTTTTGTGTCTCTATTTCCTTCAGTTCTGCTCTGATCTTAGTTATTTCTTGCCTTCTGCTAGCTTTTGAATATGTTTGCTCTTGCTTTTCTAGTTCTTTTAATTGTGATGTTAGGGTGTCAATTTTGGATCTTTCCTGCTTTCTCTTGTGGGCATTTAGTGCTATAAATTTCCCTCTACACACTGCTTTGAATGTGTCCCAGAGATTCTGGTATGTTGTGTCTTTGTTCTCGTTGGTTTCAAAGAACATCTTTATTTCTGCCTTCATTTCGTTATGTACCCAGTAGTCATTCAGGAGCAGGTTGTTCAGTTTCCATGTAGTTGAGTGGTTTTGAGTGAGATTCTTAATCCTGAGTTCCAGTTTGATTGCACTGTGGTCTGAGAGATAGTTTGTTATAATTTCTGTTCTTTTACATTTGCTGAGGAGAGCTTTACTTCCAACTATGTGGTCAATTTTGGAATAGGTGTGGTGTGGTGCTGAAAAAAATGTATATTCTGTTGATTTGGGGTGGAGAGTTCTGTAGATGTCTATTAGGTCTGCTTGGTGCAGAGCTGAGTTCAATTCCTGGGTATCCTTGTTGACTTTCTGTCTCGTTGATCTGTCTAATGTTGACAGTGGGGTGTTAAAGTCTCCCATTATTAATGTGTGGGAGTCTAAGTCTCCTTATAGGTCACTCAGGACTTGCTTTATGAATCTGGGTGCTCCTGTATTGGGTGCATATATATTTAGGATAGTTAGCTCTTCTTGTTGAATTGATCCCTTTACCATTAAGTAATGGCCTTCTTTGTCTCTTTTGATCTTTGTTGGTTTAAAGTCTGTTTTATCAGAGACTAGGATTGCAACCCCTTCCTTTTTTTGTTTTCCATTTTCTTGGTAGATCTTCCTCCATCCTTTTATTTTGAGCCTATGTGTGTCTCTGCCCATGAGATGGGTTTCCTGAATACAGCACACTGATGGGTCTTGACTCTTTATCCAATTTGACAGTCTGTGTCTTTTAATTGGAGCATTTAGTCCATTGACACTTAAAGTTAATATTGTTATGTGTGAATTTGATCCTGTCATTATGATGTTAGCTGGTTGTTTTGCTTGTTAGTTGATGCAGTTTCTTCCTAGTCTCGATGGTCTTTACATTTTGGCATGATTTTGCAGCGGCTGGTACCGGTTGTTCCTTTCCATGTTTAGTGCTTCCTTCAGGAGCTCTTTTAGGGCAGGCCTGGTGGTGACAAAATCTCTCAGTATTTGCTTGTCTGTAAAGTATTTTATTTCTCCTTTACTTATGAAGTTTAGTTTGGCTGGATATGAAATTCTGGGTTGAAAATTCTTTTCTTTAAGAATGTTGAATATTGGCCCCCACTCTCTTCTGGCTTGTAGAGTTTCTGCCGAGAGATCTGCTGTTAGTCTGATGGGCTTCCCTTTGAGGGTAACCCGACCTTTCTCTCTGGCTGCCCTTAACATTTTTTCCTTCATTTCAACTTTGGTGAATCTGACAATTATGTGTCTTGGTGTTGCTCTTCTCGAGGAGTATCTTTGTGGCGTTCTCTGTATTTCCTGAATCTGAATGTTGGCCTGCCTTGCTAGATTGGGGAAGTTCTCCTGGATAATACCCTGCAGAGTGTTTTCCAACTTGGTTCCATTCTCCCCGTCACTTTCAGGTACACCAATCAGACGTAGATTTGGTCTTTTCACATAGTCCCATATTTCTTGGACGCTTTGCTCGTTTCTTTTTATTCTTTTTTCTCTAAACTTCCCTTCTCCCTTCATTTTATTCATTTCATCTTCCATCACTTATACCCTTTCTTCCAGTTGATCACATCAGCTCCTGAGGCTTCTGCATTCTTCATGTAGTTCTCGAGCCTTGGTTTTCAGCTCCATCAGCTCCTTTAAGCACTTCTCTGTATTGGTGATTCTAGTTATATATTCTTCTAAATTTTTTTCAAAGTTTTCAACTTCTTTGCCTTTGGTTTGAATGTCTTCCCATAGCTCGGAGTAATTTGATTGTCTGAAGCCTTCTTCTCTCAGCTTGTCAAAGTCATTCTCTGTCCAGCTTTGTTCCGTTGCTGGTGAGGAACTGCATTCCTTTGGAGGAGGAGAGGCACTCTGCTTTTTAGAGTTTCCAGTTTTTCTGCTCTGGTTTTTCTCCATCTTTGTGGTTTTATCTACTTTTGGTCTTTGATGATGGTGATGTACAGATGGGTTTTTGGTGTGGATGTCCTTTCTGTTTGCTAGTTTTCTTTCTAACAGACAAGACCCTCAGCTGCAGGTCTGCTGGAGTACCCGGCCGTGTGAGGTGTCAGTCTGCCCCTGCTGGGGGGTGCCTCCCAGTTAGGCTGCTCGGGGGTCAGGGGTCAGGGACCCACTTGAGGAGGCAGTCTGCCCGTTCTCAGATCTCCAGCTGCGTGCTGGGAGAACCACTGCTCTCTTCAAAGCTCAGATGGAAATGCAGAAATCACCCATCTTCTGTGTCGCTCACGCTGGGAGCTGTAGACCGGAGCTGTTCCTATTCGGCCATCTTGCGAGACCATTCTGCTTTGGGTATTTTATACACACACACACACACACACACACACACACACACACACACACACACTATATATATATATATATATACATATGTATATATATATGTATATATATATGTATATATATGTATATATATATATTTTGTTAATATATGTGTGTGTATGTGTATATATATACATATATATATATATATATGTATATATATATATATATATATGTATGTATATATGTCCTAAAGGTCCCAAAGGCAGCGTCTTGCTTAATGGAAAAACATTAAAGCACTAGAAGCATTTCTAATAGGATAAGAAACGAGGCAAGGATGCCCATTATCACCACCACGTTCAACAGCATACTGGAGATATTAATTAACTACGTAATAGGAAGAAATAACAGATTGTACAGATAAGAATTGAAAAGAAGCTAAACCATTTCTATTTGCAGATGATTTGATCATGTACCAGTAAAATTCTTGATAGTCAATGATATAACTAACTCAAACAATAAAATAATTCAGTAAAGTAATAGGCTATAATGCTAACATATACAAATTATTAGCTTTCATATAAACAAACGATAACTAGTTAGCTAATAAGATGATAGAGAAAACCCATTTACAATAGCAACAAAAAGGATAAAATACCTAGAAAGGAATTAAACCAAAAAACACGTAAAATAATGCAAAATTAAGTTCAGCCTAAAGCCGCCTCCTTGTAAGTTTGGCCTAAAGGTTTCTCCATACATAATGAACTGTAACCTAATGAGATGTGGCTATGTAAACAGACCGTAACCTACCCTTGTACCAATCACTGAGTTCCAGCCAATCATAGGCAGTTAACTGTTCAAATAAGGCAGATGCCAAGCTGTAATCAATCTAGCTGTTTCCGCATCTCACCCATTTTCTGTACATCACTTTCCTTTTTCTGTCCATAAATCCTCACTGACCACAAAGTAGTGCCAGAGTCCCTCTGAAGCTCTTCTGGTTCAGGGGGCAACCCAATTCATGAATCATTCTTTGCTCAGTTAAACTCTATTAAATTTAATATCTCTAAAGTATTTCTTTAACAGACAGTGTCAGAAGTGGAATCTGAAGTAGAGGCTCCAGTGACCAACAAGAGCATCAAGTGACCAAGTAAAGTAACCCCCTGGCCATTGAATCCATTGCTCTCTCACAGCAGCTGGGGATCATGGGTGAATTCTCTCTCAGATTCTGAAGTTCCAGAAATTTGTGTTTTGAGTTATCTGAGTTTGAGCAAAAAATTTCTTTTTTTTTGTTTTTTGAAATAGAGTTTTGCTTTTCTCGTCCAAGCTGAAGTTCAATGGTGCAATCTCGACTCACTGCAACCTCCGCCTCCTGGGTTCAAGCAATTCTCCTGCCTCAGCCTCCTGAGTAGCTGGCATTACAGGCATGTGCCATCGTGCCCGGCTAATTTTTTGTATTTTTAGTAGAGACGGGGTTTCACCATGTTGGCCAGGCTGGTCTCGAACTCCTGACCTCAGGTGATCTGCCCGTCTCGGCCTCCCGAAGTGCTGGGATTATAGGCGTGACCCACCGCGCCCGGCCTTTGAGCAAATTTTTGATCCAAACTGGGTTTGGAAGCCATGACAGAAACTGGACTGGGTCCAGGATCAGATTGGATCTAATAATTAACTTACTTGGATCCAGTTAGAGGCCTCAGATGTCTGACTAGGTCAGGCAGAAACTGGCAGTAAATGGCAATACTGCAGGGAGTGTGAACTCCAGCTGTGAGAAATTTGCAGGGACTTTTGCATTTTAGCCCCTTTGTTTCTTTTTCTTACATACCTAGGCAGGGGAAAAAAATCATTAGCTAAGTCAATCAAGGGGATCTGAGAGCCAAAGGCATTCAATGTAAAAATGAGATGCTTAATTGCTTAATTTCTGCAGAATTGAATACACCACCTTTTGGCTACACCTACACTTACATGTGTCGGAATTAGGCCCCCAAGAGCCCCCAAAGCAGCAAATGCTTACAGAAATAGCAAAATCTTACTAAAGGTAATTTAAAATTACAGTGGAACATTCCAAATAAATAATACTGTACTTTTAAATGTGTGTTATTGTAGCAGATTTCACACACACACAAAGTGCATTTTAAAATGAGGGCTCCTAAAGAAGGCTCTTCCAGGGATGCCTACCGATGTGCAGAAACTTCTAAAAAGATTTCAATACTTTTATTCCCTCATTAAAAAAAAAAAAACTCTTGGCCAGGTGTGGTGGCTCATGCCTATAATGCCAGCATTTTGGGAGGCCAAGGTGGGCAGATCACTTGAGGTCAGGAGTTCAAGACCAGCCTGGCCTACATGGTGAAACCCCATCTCTAGTAAAAACACAAAAAATTAGGTGGACATGGTGGCTTGTGCCTGCAGTCTCAGCTACTTGGGAGGCTGAGGCAGGAGAATCACGAACCCAGGAGGTGAAGGTTGCAGTGAACTGAGATCGCTCCACTGCACTCCAGTCTGGGGAACAGAGTGAGACTACATCTCAAAACAAACAAACAAGCAAACAAAAAATTCTTTATAAAAGGCAAATAAAAAGCTTAAGTGACTGACCAGAAACAGTGGCTGACCCCTGTTATCCTAGCACTCTGGGAGGCCAAGGCAGGTGGTAACTTGAGGTCGAGTTCAACACGAGCCTGGCCAATATGGGGACACCCCATCGCTACTTAAAAAAAAAAAAAAATTAGCTGAGTGTGGTGGTGCACACCTATAATCCCAGCTGCTTGGGAGGCTGAGGCAGGAGGATCGCTTGAACCCAGGAGACAGAGGTTGCAGTGAGCCAAGATCACACCATTGCACTCCAGGTGACTCCCTGGGTGACAGGGCAAGACTCTATCTAAAAAATAAAAATAAAAATAAAAAAAATTGACTAATTGGTAAGAAAATTTACCAACTTTTTGGCTTAGTTACTATTTGTGAACCCCAAATATCTGAGACAGGTCTCAATCAATTTAGAGAGTTTATTTTGCCAAGATTAAGCGCGTGACCATGACACAACCTCAGGGGTTCCTGACATGTGCCCAAGGTGGTTGGGTTACAGCTTGCTTTTATACATTTTAGGGAGACATGAGACATCAGTCTATATGTGTAAGATGTACATTGGTTTGGTCTGGTAAGGCGGAACAACTTGAGGTGGGGGCTTCCAGGTCATAAAACAAAAGGTTGCATTATTTTGAGTCCTTGATGAGCCTTCCACTGGATACAAAATATAGTCTGGCTCAGTGAATCTTCATTTTTACATAAACAATAGGGCAGAGGAAGCAATCAGATATGCATTTGTCTAAGGTGAGCCTCAGAAGGAGACTTGGAGTTCTATCTTTCCGTTGTCCACCAAGAATTTCCTTGTGGGCAAATTGTGAGGGAGGTATGTCACTTTTTATCTTTGTAGCTATCTTATTTAGGAATGAAATGGGAGGCAGGGTGCCTGACATAGGTCCCAGCTTGACTTTTCCCTTGGCTCAGTGATTTGGGGTCCTAAGATTTATTTTCCTTACACATATCCCAACCAAAGGCAAAAAGAAAGCTATCCTGGATACAGTGTTTATAAAAAGTAGGCCCTCAGATTAAATGGCCTTGATTCTTTTTCAAAGCTATCCATGCTAAGTCCAGGTATAGAGAATGCTTTAATTGCTGTGTTTCTTAATGAGCTCCATCCTGAACTCAGTAGTTTTAGCTAAGAAAAAGTAGCTAAGTTAAGAAGACCACCTATTAAACTAAAACAGTCTCTAAAATATACTTTTCTGGCATTTAGCTGGCTATCTTAAAACACTTTTTTTTTTTCAGAGATGGAGTCTCACTCTGTTGCCCAGTCTGGAGTGCAGTGGCGCGATCTCAGCTCACTGCAACCATCACCTCCCGGGTTCACGCCATTCTCCTGCCTCAGCCTCCCGAGTAGCTGGGACTACAGGTGCCCACCACCACACCTGGCTAATTTTTTCTATTTTTAGTAGAGACGGGGTTTCACCATGTTAGCCAGGATGGTCTCGATCTCCTGACCTCATGATCCGCGCGCCTCGGCCTCCCAAAGTGCTGGGATTACAGATGTGAGACGCCGCGCCTGGCCCCAAAACACTTTTATAGGAGAAATTTATATCTCTAAAAGAAATTTCCATTTGAAAGGGTGTCTGAGAGGGAGGACTGGGTCACTAGAAACTCTTACTGTTGTTTTAAATGTACATACATTGTCTTGCCTTTGTTTAAGGTGCTTTTCCAGGCCATGCTGCCTTAACCGGATCTTTATGTACAATCTTTTCCCTTGGTTTGAGCAACTGATAGTACAATATTTAGGCCTAAAATCTCAGCTCTGTGCTTTTGAGAATTTTCTACCTTGTTTCACCTAAGAGTCATCCCTTTAGGAGGCAGATTGTGGAGTAGCTAACAACTACTTAGAGCAATAAAACAGATAGTTCTAAGACTGATAGTATGAATGGGGAAAAGAAAAACTATTTGAAAGCTGACAAATGAGAATTCTTCATGGAAGCTTTAAGACCTGCTTGTGTCTATATGTCTATATGTGTATGTGATACTATTTGGTGAAGAAAGCTAGTTTTTAAATTGTTGGTAAAATAAAATAAAAAAATGACTTCAGAATTGTCACTTAAAGATAATATAGATATTTATGCCTGAGTCTACTGGTCAGACAGGTTTATGCTATCTCTGCTTCAAGCTTTAAGGTCATAAAACTTCTGCTTCTGTTATGTTTTTGATATTTGCTTGATTTGACTGTGAGCTTATGTTTTTGTTTTCCGAGCCTCTGGATTCTGGGGTCCAGACAGGTGACCTTGGTAACATATGGGGACATGTCCTCAGTGTCTATATCACCACCTACAGGGCACAGTCAAGCTCAAAATGACCCCTTTCTCCCTGGCCCAGCTTTGCCTCCTGGCCATTCTGTGAAGGGCTGAATGCTCCAGTCATCATCTTCATAGCTGTCTTCTGTCCTGAATTCTATACCTAGTATGTAAATTTAGGACCCAGATGGGACCTCCCCTTATAGCCATCCTAGGTGTCATGTGGCTACTTGAGACCCAGGATGACTGGGAAAAACATTAGAAAGGGTACTTGTATCATAGTATTAATATTCTTTTCAGTAATTTAAATCTTAAAGTCATATTATTTTAAATTAAGTACCAGATAATCATAAAATGTCTGAGTTTTTTTACAAGTATGTTAAAATACTAAAACATTAATTATTAAACATAAATTTAAGTTTATATAATTTGGCATCTTATTTTTCTGTGATATAAAAAAGCTAAATATATGTAGATCTGTTAATGAACAAAAATTTGAGCAAACATATCTTTGTAAAAATTATAAAATGGTTTTCATCTATAAATACTGATATAAAACAGTTCAGAATTACTTTTTAGACTTTTACTGAAAATTAGGGTGACTAAGAGTTAAAATTATAGTTAACATATGTAATTAAAACTACATATATAAGAGAATTCTATATACAAAGTGTACTAACAAAAAAGACATGCTTTGATTAAAAAAAAGCTGTAAAAGAATACAAATACATAGCTGTTGAGAAAAAATTACTTTGTCCAGTTTAGAAGTTACTTAAATATTATTTTACGATAAAAGAATTTTAAAAGATATAAATAAAACTAAATAATATTAAAAGTCAGGAAGAAAAAGAATTTTTAAAATTTTGTAAGAGATTATAAAACATTTATGAAATCTGCATGGTCAAAAGCTGACTGAGATTAGTTTGTTTATAAGGTTTTATTAAAATCAGCTTTAATATTGATAATTCATTAATACAAAAGCAAACTTTGGTTTTCTCTTTTAAACAAGATTTTTGTAAAGTAATAATAAGAGATAATAAAAAATTTTTGTTCACTTTTAGAGACATCTCAAAAAAAATGAGACAGCAAGAGGAGAAAAGGAGAGATAGATTCTGTCTAATGCTGTCTTTATTAGATATTTTAATCTTTGGGAAGACTGGGTCTCCTCTAATCAAAGAGTAAAAGTTTTTGCTTTTTAAAACCTTTTAATTATCACTAACAAATGGCTATTATTTTACAGTGACCTGTGGTCATACTTTGATTAAATGTTTTAAACCTTTGACATATTTGACGGCCTTCCCAAAATCAAATTTAAAATTCAAAATTAACTCTCTTTAAACCTCAAACTAAATTTGGGATGCTACAGAGGGCCCATACAGCATCCAAAAGACAAATAAACATGCCTACTTAATATATTTTAATTTTTTTCGAAACAGGCTCTCACTCTGTTGCCCAGGCTAGAGTGCAGTGGCACAGTCACAGCTCACTGCAGCCTCAACTTCCCAGACTCATGCAATCCTCCTACCTCAGCCTCCCAGGTAGCTGGGATTACAGGTGCACACCACCCTACCTAGCTAATTTTTTTGTGTTTTTTGTAAAGATGGGGTCCTGCTCTGTTGCCCAGGCTGATCTTGAACTCCTGGGCTCAAGCAATCCACCGGCCTCGGTCTCCCAAAGTGCTAGGATTACAGGCATAAGCCACCATGCCAAGCCTAATATGTTAGATTATATGAAAAGCATTGTCAAATAAGAAATGATCTGCAGTTAACTTTCTTTGAGTTATATTTTTATGAATATATTATTTTAATATATGTTTGAAAATTGTATAATAGTCCTAAAATTCTGACATGTCTTGGTATATTTTATCAGTCATAATTATGGTTATTATGTCCTTAGAAATAACTAAATTTTCTTGTCAATTGCAACCTTAATCATGTTCACAGTTAATGGCTTAATTCTGATAGAGTTTCTAAAAGCTCTTTACAAGCAAATAAACTCCTAAAGTACTGTGCCTTCAAGGAAGTTCATGAAAAAGATAAAAAGGACTCTGACAAAAATTCTTAAATACAGAGTTGTCATGACTAGAATCGTATCATTTAGACTGGGTAAGAAATTCCCAGAACTCTAACAAAGGGGTTGACTGGTTTATGAAACTGCTAACACAAGCAAGACAAAAATTAATTGAATACCAAGAAAATACTTTGCCAGATTTTCATGCTACATCAGCCAGTACTAAAATTGTTTAGATATGCAGTTTAAATGAACTCCATTGTTCAAGTCAAATTACTTATGATAACTTATCTAATAAACAGTGCTTTGCACCTAAATTAGAGAAACAAAATTCGTAGTTAAGAGGATATAAATCAAATGTTAAGCGTAGACTCATGGAGAACCTGGATGGCTACCTGGTTCTTCCTGAGTCCTTAAAACTTCCATTATATAAAGCTCTATATCCATGACTCATTATAAAAAAAGATAAAACTATCCAAATTATATACATAATTTTAGTGACTGTTGTAGATTACTAAAACGGTCTTAATATCAATGTTTGGTTTGTTAAACCTATAATTCTAGAAAGATAATAAAAACTTTAGGTATATTCTGCTATCTGATAGGCCAACTAAAGATTTATAGAGAGATTTCATTCAACTGTCATTTTCAATGCCTGTTTTCTGGTAGTATGAAAGCTTTCCCATGCAAGAAAACTGATGCTATAATAGTAACTAAAAGGTTATTAGGACATATTTTTTCTTTATGGGACATTCCTAGAAAAATCTCCACCAATAAAGGTACTTGTTTCACTAGACACGTTATAAAACAGTTAAATAAGTCACTACAGATACAATTGCATTAGCCAAAGCTAACTTAATTGACCGGATTGCCTTGATCAAAGGTTTTACAGATTAATGACAATCAGATCCTCTTCTCATGGAAAATATAACTTGGCCTCTTATGAAATAATCACTTGAAGGCCTATGCTTCTAATAACAGAAACTCATGTATCTTCTGCTCCTAAACTCTATATGACTAAATGCTACAGGCTTTTTTTTTTTTTTTTTTTTTTTTTTTTGAGACAGGTTCTCTCTCGGTCACCCAGGCTGGAATGCAGTGGTGGAATCATGTCTCACTGCAGTCTCAACCTCCTGGGCTTGAGTGATCCTCCCACCTCAGCCTCCCAAGAAGCTGAGACCACAGGCACACACCACCACCCCTGACTAATTTTTTTTATTTTTTGTAGAAATTGGGTCTCACTCTTGTTGCCCAGATTGGTCTTGAACTCCTGGCCTCAAGCAATCCTCCCACCTCAGCCTCCTGCCTCAGCTTCCCAAAGTGCTGAGGTTACAGGTGTGAGCCACCCTACCCAGCCCGGTAAGGCTTTAATACATTATGCCAGAGTATATTTTCACCAGGTTAAAAAAAACAAAAAAAAAACTTTTCATAGCCCACCGACTGAGGATAACCAAACTCTTCATGATTTACAACCCTGAGATTGGGTCTTTTGGAAAACAAAATCAGAGAAAGACTACTCTTGCCACCCACACTACAACAAAACTTTTCTACTATCAAGACACTCTTATCTCTTAATTTTTTCCTTACATATGCCTCTATAAACAATAAAACAAGAAAAGGGGTCTTGTATACACTCATGTGGTATACTTTTATTTGTGAAAGATTTTACAGTCAACTTTATACATGGACAACTTTATGCCTTAATAAAGGAAAGACAAAGGGCCGATGTGGGGGAAAAAATTTAATGGTACTTTCATTACTTCATGATCAGACAAAAACAAAACATTGGTCCACTCCTCTTAACCTTTGTCTATAAGAACATTGCCAGGAGGCCTTCACTCTTCTGGATGGGCATGATTTGTTAGGTCTTTTCTTCCATGGTTTAGAGTAAATGAGACAAAAGTTAAAAATGTATCCCTCATAAATTTCTACAAGGCTGTATAATAGATTCTTCTGCAAAGACTGTGGTTACACAACAGACTTCTTTAAATTCTCATACTAAAATGGTGGTAAATAATAGAATTGCTCTAGATTACTTGCTGGCTAAACAGAAAAGTATCTGCACAGTTACTGACACTTCTGGTTACACATAGATAAATACATCAGGTATTATAGAGACATAGTTCTAAGGTATTAACAAACAGACTGCTTGGTTAAAACAAGTAGACTTTGTATTTAGCTCATTCTTTGATCATTTAATTTTAGTTGGTTTTGTTTATGGGGATCTTGGCTAAGGAACATACTTCAAACTCTTGGTATTATCTTCCTAATAGTCATAATAGTAGTCTCTCTGGTACACTGTATTCTCTCAAAAGTTTTAAATGTTTTCATACAACCATTCATAAAATGTCAAATGGTCTCCCTTTGACTAGAATGACAAAAACCTCAAAGAAATGCATGATCTGTAAAACTGTAGACGTCAAAATATTACAATAGTCAGTTTATGTTATGCATGTTCTACCAAATAAAAAAGAAAACAAACCACCCACAGAATGTCTGAAATTACAATTAATCATTGTTTCAACCTCCTAAGTTTTGAAATGATAGATAACTGGAACAAAACTTAAATGATTGCTATTAAGTAGATCAAGCTAGGCTGCCCACCTATTTCATTCCTAAGGATACAGTGACAAACTAGTCACCCCAAAAATCTTGTGGTACAAAACACTCAGATTACTGCTTAGTTCTAACTACCCATGAAAATCATTTGCCCACCTGGCCTTTGGTGGTTTTACTGTCCCTGGGATTTCATTGTCCTCTAAAATCAGGGAGCACATTTCAATGGCAACATCTTCCACCAATACCAGGCCTGAGAACAGTGACTACAGAGCTCTTCAAGGTTGTGGGTCTTCCCTCATCGGTGCATTTCTCAGCATCTTAGAGAAGGGGATGCCCTCTGGATTTGGGGACAAGGAGGCTGCCAGTCAGCACGATAAACCTATTTCAGCATTTTAATCTCTCCGTCCCTTAAATTCCTTCCTCTGCACTGCCCTAGAGAAGTCCTGGCAACTCGGCCTTACTGATTGTTGCCCAACACTATTGGTCAACCAAGCAAGCAGATGCTGGAAACGCTCTCTAAAAATCCAAACCACACATCACATCTGACTCCTGTGCTGGCTCCAGGCCAAGCTTTCCTCTGGGTCTCTGTGCTTGTCTCTTTGCAGAAAAGAAAACAAAAGGAATGAATATTCAGGGCGTTTGTGCCTTACACAAGATAAAATTTCATTACAGGATATGCAACTTGCCATTCCTGGGGGAGCTCTGAATCCTAAAGTAAATATGAAAGTTTTGACACATCTCTGTGTTTCAAGCAGTTGCCATGTCTCTTGAAAGACAAGAACATAGCATATTCAGCATGCAGAAGGCTGTCAAAACATTTGTTTTTATTACATCTAACTGTCCTGTGTTTTCAGTAATACTGGTGGCCTGGCAATGTGATCCTGAGCCAACTAGGATCATCAAACCATCTAGTCAGATCTGGTGGGAGCACTGACACCAGGAATATGTAGACCTCGGAATTCAAACTTCAGGGGGACTTTTACTCTCTCATGTCTTAAGGTTTATTATTTCTTATATGCCAACTTTCTTTACTTATTAATCTCATCAATAATGTCAGTCATTGCTTTTGGCATACTGTGGGAATGATCAAAGATATACCCATGACCAGGCATGGTGGCTCATTCCTGTAATCCCAGCACTTTGGCAGGTCGAGGCGGGTGGATCGCTTGAGCCTCGGAGTTCGAGACCAGCCTGAGCACACAGTGAAACCCCACCTCTACAAAATACACAAAAATTAGCCAGGCATGGTGGTGCATGTCTGTAGTCCCAGCTACTAGGGAGGCTGAGATGGGAGGAACGCTTGAGCCCTGAGAGGTCAAGGCTGCACTGAGCTGTGATAGCACCACTGCACTCCAGCCTGGGTGACAGAGCAAGACTCTGTCTCAAAAAACAAAAAGAAAGATATCTAAAAGCACTTGGTTAGACAATAAACTACTAAGAGGAGAAATAAATAAGTTCTTAAACATAAACAAATAATACCTTACAAAGCACCTTCCTTCCAAGGAGACAAAAAAAGCAATAGAAATTTTATCAGTTATCTCAACCATCATGATTCAGCTGTTCTGCTAATGAATAAGAAATGGAAAAAAAAAACCCTCAAGATTTAATATTTGGAAATCTCTACTGAGTGTGAGTAAATTTCTTCTACTTCTCCTTGGATGTAAAGCAGCCTCAGAGTAAATGTTTCTAAGGGACTTCGTTTTGTTTTTTTTTTTTAATTGTATACCTTTCATATACATAAAATAATGCAGAAAAAATAGAGGGGAAAGAGAAAAGCAGGGAAAACATTTATCCAAATTCTAACAAAACTACTATTAGTTTGTTCAAAACAGGCTTTCTTTACTCTCTATTTTCCTAAATTTCAAATTGTGATACTGTTAAATATTAACATATATTTGGTTTATATACCATCTCTTGGCATATAATTCGTAAAATCCTTAGATTCTCCAAAGTGATGTGTCTTTTTATGCTAATGAGTTGACTGATGGCTGGCAGCCCCTAGGCAGCTTCAGGACTGGTCACCTGAAAGATCAAGGCAGGATTAGAGGGCTGGTACTCTCAGCGCCATCCCCCAATCTCCAGGGAGGGAAGAGGGGCTGAAGGTTGAGTTGGTCATCATTGGCCAAGGGTTTAATCAATCACGCCCACATAATGAATCCTCCATAAAAACCCAAAGGACTGGGTTCAGAGAGTTCCAGGATAGCCAAACAAATACATGGAGGGTGACTCACCCTGGAAATGCATGAAAGCTCTGCCCCTTCCGTCATACCTGCACCCCCTTCACACCCTTTCATTTGTATCCTTTGTAATATTCTTTATAATGAACCTGTAAACTGAGTTCTGTGAGCCACGCTAGCAAATTAACCAAACTCAAGGAGGAAGTGGTGGAACCCCAAGTCATAGAAACACAGGTGAAGCAACCTGGGGCTTGTGGTTGACATTGAAAGTGGGGGGCAGTCTTGTGTGACTGAGCCCTCAATCTGAGGTTGAGGGATTTGATGCTATCTCCAGGTACTACCAGAATTGAATTGGAGGATACCCAGATGGTGTCCACTACAGAATTGATTGTTTGCTGGTATGTGAGAGATTGGTCCCAGAAGTCTTCTGTGTTGATTATTGTGGGATGAGATCAGAGAAAAAAACAGTTTGTGTTTTTACTAGGCAAAAACGCTTACTCTTAGCTGGGCACAGTGACTCACATCTGTAATCCCAGCAGTTTGAGAAGCTGAGGTGGGTGGATCGCTTGAGCTCAGGAGTTTGAGACCAACCTGGGCAACATACCAAAACCCCATCTCTACCAAAAATACAAAAATTAATCGGGTGTGGTAGTGCATGCCTGTGGTTTCAGCTACATGGGAGGCTGATGTGGGAGGATCATTTGAGCCTGGGAGGCGGAGGTTGCAGAGAGCAGAGATCCCGCCACTGCACTACAGCCTGGATGATAAAGTGATACCTTGTCTCAAAATAAATAAATAAATAAAACCTATTCATTATCATTTATATTCCTCCTATTGTTTCTATACATGATCTTGGAGGTGTAAAATAATTATCATAATGTTGTACTTAATAAGTAAGACACCTAGAGGCAGAAATACCATTTGATCCAGCAATCCCATTACGAGGTATGTACCCAAAAGAATATAAATCAAAAGATAAATGCATGCGTATATTCACTGCAGCACTGTTCACAATAGCAAAGACATGGACTCAACCTAACTGCCCATCAATGATAGATTGGATAAAGAAAATGTGGTACATATGTACCATAGAATACTATGCAGCCATAAAAAGGAATGAGATCATGTCCTTTGCAGGGATGTGAATGGAGTTGGAAGCCATTATACTCAGCAAAGTAATGCAGGAACAGAAAACCAAACACTGCATGTTCTTACTTATAAGTGGGAGCCGAATGAGAACACATGGACTCCTGTGGGGGAACAACACAAGCTGGGGCCTATTGAGGGGAGGGGAGGGAGAGCATCAGGAAGAATAGCTAATGGATTCCGGGCAAAATACCTAAGTGATGGGATGACCTGTGCAGCAAACCACCATGGCACACGTTTACCTATGTAACAAACCTGCATATCCTGCACATGGACCCCAGAATTAAAATAAAAGTTGAAGAAAAAAATAAGCAAGACTAAAAACAGGCCACTATTCTAACCATAACACAGATTAGAAATAAAATGATCTCTGTATCTGCATATTATGTCTGGAAATCTTAGTTTTGTTATTAAATGTAACCGTATCCACTCCAATTGCTGAAAAACAATGTGTGCAAGTCACCTAGCTACAAAGAAATAATATTGCTCTGAGCTGTAACAATAGCTGATTAAATACTTTATGGAAAGAAATGTCTGTCCTGGACAACTCAAATGGGTATGGAGTGATGGAAAAAAAACACTGAACTGCAAATTTTGAGATCTGGTTCTGGCACTGTCTAGAATTAAGATCTTATTTAAGCCAATTTGTAGAACATGGACAATCTCTATAAAAGTCAAATCTTTGATAGAAAAGTTTGTTCTTTCTAGCTCTAAAATATTATTCTAATGCTTTAATTTCATTCATCACCTGTTATTGGGTAAAAAAGAATACTACCTTGGTTAATAGTTAATGTTAACTTTAAAAATCATCTTCTTTTAGCTTCACAGTTGTCAGTTAGCTTAAAATTATTAACATGAGGTGCCGGGAGCGGTGGCTCATGCCTGTAATCCCAGCACTTTGGGAGGCCAAGGAGGGCCGATCATGAGGTCAGGAGTTGGAGACCAGCCTGGCCAATACGGTGAAAGCCCGTCTCTACTGAAAATACAAAAAATTAGCCGGCCGTGGTGGCGCGTGCCTGTAGTCCCAGCTACTCGGGAGACTGAGGCAGAAGAATCGCTTGAACCCGGGAGGCAGAGGTTGCAGTGAGCTGAGATCACGCCACTGTGCTCCAGCCTAGGCAATAGCGGGAGACTCTGTGTCAAAAAAAAAAATTATTAACCTGAGGTAATGATGGGACTTCTATATTTCAGCTGGGTGTCAATGTCTTTTTCCTTGAATGTGTGTTAATATCTTCCTTTACCACACTTCAAATAGTTTGCATCCTATCTGAGGATCAAAGATAAAACTTTGAAGTGCTTTATCAGCCTGGAAACCTATTGTGAGGGCACGTAGGCAGCAGTCAGTTCACGCTGTAACTCTGCTATGTCACCTCAAGTGGCTGGAATCAGGTGTCAGCAACACAAATTGCAAATAAAAAACACCTTGCCTTGTACCTATTTTCACAACATTTATTCTTATTGAAAAACCTTTATTTATTGTTTTCTTTCTCTTTTTAAGTTATAGGTTAATAACCCATAGGATTATTACCGAAGAGAATACTTGTTTATCTTGTTAAACTTTCCCTTTGAAAAGGCCCTTGTTGTACCCTTCTTAATGAAAACCAAGACTCACAGTACGGTTTTGGGCATCTGCTCAGTGTGTATGGTGGGTGTCCCTGCAAAGCAATATATAAATCTAATTTTCATAAATGCAATTTTATATAATAATATATTGGGGAGCTTGATAGTTTAAAGGAGGTCTTTAGTAACAACTTTATCAACAACTGTTTTGTTATGTAAATCCCCATTTCCTAATTGCTTTATTTGAAGTTTTGATTTTTAATGATACTAGATTTTCTTAAATCTAGTATCCATAGGGCACATCCATAAACGTTGTAAAAAATGATTTCAGGACTAGACCTGGTGGCTCATGTCTGTAATCCCAACACTTTGGGAGGCCAAGGTGGGAGGATGGCTTGAGCCCAGTTCAAGACCAGGCTGGGTAACATAGCAAGATCCTGTCTTAATTTTAAAATATTTTTAAAAAAATTTTAGAATCGCCAGAAAAGAAAAACAAACAAAAAACAGAAAAGTAGCATCTGAAACACAAGAAAGGGAAGTCCATCTATCTCTAATCTCTGTGGCCAAGTAAGTTCTTCACTCAGCACAGAGCAGGGACAGGTATGTGGCAAGTGTCAAGGCAGAGGGTCTTCTGTGATCTTTTAATGGCAATACAGTTGGGCCAGGGCATGGTGGCAAATAAGAATAATATGAAGAAAACTAGAAAATAAAAGATTTCATAAAGTCTTTGGGCAGTTTTAAAATGTTTAATCTGTAATAATGATCATTGAAAGATGATATTTTAGAAGAATGTATACATTTCATTAAAACACACATTGGATTTTCTGCTCCAAGTATCTGTTGGCTCTAATTCTACTCATCTTCCAGTCTTGGGTTTTCAGTGCTCACCTGACACCAGGATCTGAATTTAAAATATCTTGGGCACCACCTTGTGGTCCAATTGTTCTACCCTTTGTAAAAGTGCTTATGCAAGCTATTTACTCATTACTTCGTACATAATTACAGCCTAAAGTATTTATGGTTAAAAGCAACCACTGCATTTTTGAAGGTCTCATGCAGTCAAAGAGGAAGTTCATGATTGCATTTAGTCTGTACTTAATGGATACTCTAAGTCTAATCATTCCCAAGTACAATAAACTTTGGATAATATGATTAAATACTTCTGCCATGATTCTTTTAACCTTCATATTGACTTTGTTAACGTTTGAAACGGTTGCCTTGGTGAGAGGGGATAGCAGAAACTAGATTTATAGCTGTACTGTTTGGGTCAAATTTTACCCACTGTTCTTAGATACTGAGGATTAAGGATGAAAAATTATAGCCTGCAAAACTTATGTCCACACAAAATCTGTACATAGATATTCATAGAAGCTTTATTCATAATTGCCAAAACTTGGAAATTACTAAGATGTCCTTCAGTAGGTGAATGGATAAGTAAACTGTGGTACATCCTGAATATCATTCATCACTAAAAGGAAATAAGCTATTGAGCCTCTACAAGACATGAAGAACCTTAAATGCATGAAAGAAGCCAATCTGAAAAGGCCACACACTATAAGATTCCAAGTATATGCTATTCTGAAAAAGACAAAACTATGGAAACAATAAAAAGATCAGTGGTTGCCAGGAGTTGGAGGGAGGGAGGGAGGGAGGGAGGGATGAGTGAGTGGAGCACAGATGACTTTTAGGCCAGTGAAACTCCTCTGTGTGATACCGTAGTGGTGGAAACATGTCCTTACACATTTGTCAAAACCCATAAAATGTACAACACTAAGAGTGAACCTTAATGTAAACTACAGACTGGTGATAATGATGTGTCAATATAGATTTATTGATTGTAACAAACGTACTACTCTGTAGGAAATGCTGATAGTGAGGGAGGCCTGGAAAGAGGATATGGGAACTCTCTGCATTTTCTGTTCAATTTTCTGGGAACCTAAAGAGGTTTTGAAAAATAAAGTCTATTTAAAAAAAAAAAAATTATAAGCTGAATCCTCGCAGTTAATTTAGCTTCTTTCACAACCAAACTTTTACAAGTAACTGAGTTAAGTCGTTTCCTCCCTAATTTGAAGGCACTATTAATGACAACATAAAAGCACAAAACACAGTACTTAAGCACTATGTGATACACTCTTTTAAAACTAATCTTCCACCATGCACGGAGGCTCACGCCTGTAATCTCAGCACTTTGGGAGGCCGAGGAGGTCAGATCATGAGGTCAAGAGTTCGAGACCAGCCTGCCCAACATGGTGAAACCGCGTCTCTACTAAAAGTAAAAAAATTAGCCAGGCTATGTGGTGGGCGCCTGTAATCTCAGCTGCTCGGGAGACTGAGGCAGAAGAATCGCTTGAAATCAGAAGGCAAAGGTTTCAGTGAGCCGAGATCACGCCACTGCACTCCAGCCTGGGCAAAAGAGCAAAACTCCATCTCAAAAAAAACCAAACAGCCGGGCCTGGTGGCTCACGCCTGTAATCCCAGCACTTTGGGAGGCCAAGGCGGGCGGATCAGCTGAGGTCAGGAGTTCGAGACCAGCCTCAATATGGAGAAACCCCGTCTCTACTAAAAATACAAAATTAGCCAGGCGTGGTGGTGCATGCCTGTAATCCCAGCTACTCAGGAGGCTGAGGCAGGAGAATTGCTTGAACCTGGGAGGCGGAGGTTGCGGTGAGCCGAGATCATGCCATTGCACTCCAGCCTGGGAAACAAGAGCAAAACTCCATCTCAAAGAGAAAAAAAAAAAACAAACAAACTAATCTTCAGCATTTGGTCTCTCAAGTTGCCCACTTGGCCCTCTTTCAAGTGTACCTTCCTTCCTTTTCTTCCTTTCCTTACTTCTCTAAAGCT
Organism: Homo sapiens; assembly: GCF_000001405.40. Taxonomy (NCBI): domain Eukaryota; kingdom Metazoa; phylum Chordata; class Mammalia; order Primates; family Hominidae; genus Homo; species Homo sapiens. The sequence goes on along the minus strand of NC_000001.11, from coordinate 228,690,221 downwards.
TTTTAATAAACTTTCACTCCTGCTCTAAAAAACAAAAACAAACAAACAAACAAAACAAATCTTTTAAATAAAAATCAGTCTGATCAAAGAAAATTACAGCAAGTAGTACAGAGAGGTAGCTCTTTAACACTTAGTAAATGTCTTAAGTGTATTGTTTGGGGGAAAGGACACATTGAAACAGCGTTAAGAATTGATTCTGCGTGCTCCAATTACATTTTTTTTAAATTCCGGTTTCAGGCACACTGGAAAGTGTGGGAAGAGAAAGTTCTTGCTGAAATTTTGATTAAATTTTCAGTCTCAGGAGACTGACCCAAACATTTCATGGTTCACAGATGGCTTATAACAGTGGTTCCCAACATTTTTGTTGCCAGGGACCAGTTTCGTGGAAGACAATTTTTCCACGAACTAGGGGTGGTAGGGATGGTTTCGGTATGAAACTGTTCCATCTCAGATCATCAGGCATTAGTTAGATTATCATTAAGAGCCAGCACCCTAGATCCCTCACATGCACAGTTCACAATAGGGTTTGAGCTCCTGTGAGACTAATATCACTGCTGATCTGACAGGAGGCGGAGCTCAGGTGGTAATGCTCACCCACTGCTCACCTCCGGCTATGCAGCCTGGTTGCTAACAGACCACAGACCAGCACCTGTCTGCAGCCCAGGAGTTGGGGACCCCTGGCTTAAAACAAAGTAGTCAAGTGATTGCATATTCATTTGTAGCCCTGAAATGACAACAAAATAGAGCAGCACTACAGTCAGCAGACAGTTTCCATAGGGATCAACAGGCAGATTCAGCTTGATTACAGCTACTGATGTCATGGAAGTATCATGTCCCAATCGCGTTTCTCACTGCTGACTTTATTACACATTTGCTGGGCCCTATCTGGATCCAGAAGTTCCAATGGCCTTTGGATTTACCCTTTCACATTGTCTGGCTTCTACTACAGATTACATATGACCTCTTTTGTTTGACTCTTCGGCTTCTTCGAGGGTTGGGTCTGACAAACTCAGGGTCCTTTGCCTCTCATGTTGGAATAAGATGGAAAAAACCTACAAAAGCTAGAAGATAGTGGGAAGAGAAGCTCCAAATGTGTGGGTTATTCAGGGATGAGGGAGACGGAAGTGAGGGAAAAGCAGCTTCTGAAGGGACTGTTCAGGCGGAGAAGGAGGAGAGGTCAGTGGTGCCTCTTCCCAAAGTCACTTTAAAATTACTGTCCATTCTGTCTCCCTAGAGCCTCTTCAAAGTGCCACCTTTACTGCTGCCAGTCTCATCTCACACACCCATATGTAGCTTTATATTTGTTTCTCTGTTTGAAAATCAGAAGGGAGGCTGAGGTCTTTGGACACACTCAGCTAAACTGACAAATCCAGCTGACCTGCAAGGACCACAGTGACACTGAGAGAATTCTACCTGCGCTGGTGACCTGTTCATTCTGCTTGACCAGGGAAGCAGAGAAAAGCACCATTTTGGACAAATACTGAAAGGCAGTACCAATCCTGGGACTTCTTGGTGTTTTGTACATAACTTTTGGTATCAGCACACACAGCACTTTACAACTGGCCATGGCCAGGCTCAGCAGAACTAATTCATGAGCCTGGGCTAGAACACAAATCAGCAGGAAGGTTTGCAGGAAAGGCACGATTCCCCACACTGGGTGGACTCCCTTGTTTAAGTGACAGCAGGCAGACATGGGAGGAATGGAAGGAGGGGTTAAATAATAGAGCACGATGCTAAGGAGGTCAAAATGGGAGATTTGCAACCCAAATGCCCTGGAAATCTGCTCCATTCTATGGCTGCAGTCCACATTTCTCAGTCCATAGGCTGCCAACTCACAAATGTCTGCTGTTCTTCACACATGAAAGAGGCAGTGGAAGGATTCGGGGGAAACCTGTGTCAGCTACAGAGAAAAAATTCATGTTCATGTCCTTTAGACAGCAGCTTAACAACATTAACAACATGGCCTTCTTCAAAAGGCAGTGGGAGGCATGAGTGGAGAGCTGTAACAGGTTAGGGTTGGTTCCAGCTACAGTTCCAGAAAACCCCAAGTCACAATAGCTCATCTTCATGGAGCATGTACTGTTAACCAGGCACTGTCCTAGACACCTGGGACCCATCCGTGAACAACAAACAAACAAACAAACAAAATCCTTGCTCTTGTACAGCTCACATTTTGTGGGGTGAGGGTGGGGTGGAAACAATACTCAAATGAAAGGAAGGAAGAAAGGAAGGAAGGGAGGGAGGGAGGGAGGGAGGAAGGACAGAAGGAAGGAAGGGACAGAGGGAGGGAGATGGAGCAGAGGAGGGAGAGGGGGAGAACAATATGTTAGAAAGGGATAACTCTTGGTGACCAGGGAAGTCACTCCCACGGCTATGTGGAAATTAGCCTGAGGCTTAGCTTTCATTATCACTGTCCCCCAGGGTGTGCTTGTCTAAGAGGTATTCCGCCGAGCCAGATTCGGGCGCTCCCATCTTGCACAAGTTGGTCACGTGCTCACCCAATTCTTTGATGGCTTTCACCTGCTTATTCAGGTAATGTGTCTCAATGAAGTCACACAAATGGGGGTCATTTTTGTCAGTGGCCAGTTTGTGCAGTTCCAGTAGTGACTGATTCACACTTTTTTCCAAATGTAATGCACACTCCATCGCATTCAGCCCGCTCTCCCAGTCATCACAGTCTGGTTTCTTGATATCCTGAAGGAAGATTCGGCCACCTCGTTGGTTCTGCAGCTTCATCAGTTTCTCAGCATGTTCCCTCTCCTCATGAGATTGGTGAAGAAAGTATTTGGCAAAGTTCTTCAAGGCAGTGCATGCATGTTGGGGTTTCCTTTACCTTTTCTATAAGTTGTACCAAAACATCCACTTAAGTTCGTTGATTTGTACCATTCCTTCAAATAAAGAAATTTGGTAACCAAAAAAAAAAGAAAGGGATAACTCTTGGGAACTGGGGAATAGAGAGAAGAGTACAGAGGGGAGGGACAGTCACGCTGAGGTGGGTGAGCACTCCCGCAAGTCTGGGTGGAGGCAGTGCCGGTCAGTGGAGCGGGCCAGTGAAGCCCACAGGTGCTTTCAGAGGAGTAAACAATTGTTCACTCAAATAGTGGAAAATGAGTTTTGTGTACTCTATCCCCTACTAGTCAGCTCACTATAATTTTTTATAATTCCTTAAATTCTCCCTTGCCGGCCAGGCACGGTGGCTCACGCATGTAATCCTAGCACTTTGGGAGGCTGAGAAGGGTGAATCACCTAAGGTCAGGAGTTCGAGACCAGCCTGGCCAACATGGTGAAATCCCCTCTCTACTAAAAATACAAAAATCAGCTAGATGTGGTGGTACACACCTGTAATCCCAGCTATTGGGAGGCTGAGGCAGGAGAATCACTTGAACCCTGGAAGCGGAGGTTGCAGTGAGCCAAGATCACGCCACTGCACTCCAGCCTGAGAGACAGAGGAAGACTCCCTCTCAAAAAAAAATTCTCCCTTGCTTTTTGGTTGGGATTATCAAGGCTTTAAAAGTTAGGAATTTAACATTTTAAGAGCTGACTCTGTTGCCAGACCAGACCTTTAAAAAGCCATTGCTTTTCATAGCAAAAACCGCAATGAGTTTTGCACCGACCCAATACTAAAAGAGGGCAAGTGCTCACCATGGCTTGCACTAAATATCAGTTGTCTCATGGTGTAGGAGAGTATTCCTCTAGATTTCTGAAACTGAAATTCAGAAATATATTGTCAAACATAATAGGTTTTAAACTGCAAATATGTAATTATTGTATTTTATATATTTTTATTGTTTTATTGCCATTTTAGAAATTTTAAGCATACAATTCAATGGCATTAATTATATTCATAATGTTGTACAACTATCACCACTATTTCCAAAATATTTCATCTCCTCAAACAGAAACTCTTTATTATAATAATATTAGTTAATAAAACACATTGAGTAACTACAAAGTACTAATCACTATATAGCTATTGTTTCATTTAAATATCATAGAAACCTCATGAGTTAGTTATTTTTATTTTATTCATGAAGAAGTTGAAGATAAGGGAGATTTAACTAATTCCTCTAAATCTAATAAGTAGCAAAATTATAACTAAAACTCAAATATAACACAACCCTATAAGCAAGTCAGATTTTGGGGTCAATGGACTAATACAAAAGTCTGATCACTAACTTACATTGTGTTTCCTCTTAATGGTTTTATTTCATCTTCATATAATAAGATGTCAAAGTGTAAAACTCTGATCTTATAAACTCTGATCAGAATAAAATTACTAAGATTCTTGGCTTTAAAAATGCTTCCATTTACAGATTCTTTTAATAATAGCTCTGGGGATAATTAAGGGTTGCACTAGATTAACTCTTGAAGAGAAAGGAGTCGGTAGACAAAAAAGTTCTGAGTGTCAAATGCTACTGATTAAGGGTTTCACTAAAGGAGAACAAAGAGGTTTTTCAATTAGAATGTAAGTCAATGAGAAGATTAATTTTGATTAACAGAAATACATTTAACCTATATATAATTTTAACAGGAAGATATATATTCACATACAGTCATTTCATGAGTCTCTGAATACTTTAGTTATCTTCTAAAACTCTCAAATTCCCCAGTAAATTCTCAGAGCAGTATCCTATCATTCTCTGGCTCCAAATGCTCAATAGATTTCCATTTTAATTTTTCACAGAATCAACCATCCAGAGAATGGTGCTCCATTTGGTTCCAGTTTTGTTTCTCCTAATTTCCCTTTGTGGTCATTTCTCTTTACAGCATTTGCTCTCTTTCTAGTCTCTCACTCTGAGTTTCAGTTTCCAAGTATTTGTTAAAACTCATTCCCAAATTCCTACTGTCAGAGGCATTGGAACCAGAGCAACTCCATCTTAATAGAGGCTGGGTAAAATAAGGCTGAGGCCTACTGGGCTGCATTCCCAGACACTTAAGGCATTCTAAGTCACAGGATGAGATAAGAAGTCAGCACAAGATACAGGTCATAAAGACCTTGCTGACAGAACAGACTGCAGTAAAGAAGCCAGCCAAAACCCACCAATACCAAGATGGCAATGAGAGTGACCTCTGGTCATCCTCACTGCTACGCTCCTACCAGCACCATGGCAGTTTACAAATGTCATGGCAATGTCAGGAAGTTACCCTATATAGCCTAAAAATGGGAGACATAAATAATGCACCCGTTGTTTAGAATATCATCAAAAAATAACCATAGAAATAGGCAACCAGCAGCTCTCGGAGTAGCTGGTCTGCTCTGTCTATGGAGTAGCCGTTCTTTTATTCCTCCACTTTCCTAGTAAACTTGCTTTCACTTTACAAACTCGTCCTGAATTCTTTCTTACACAAGATCAAGAACACTCTCTTAGGGTCTGAGCTATTATCGGGACCGTTTCCTGGAACAGCACCACGTTCCCTTTTGGTCTGCAAGCCAGAAACTGGAAGTCATCCTTGTGGTTCCTTCTCCCTCACCCTCACAACTACTCTATTACCAGAGCCTGCATGTTTTTTCCTGCCTTATGGGGGTGGCTGCAAAATCTAGCACCCAAACAGGAACGATTCTGAGAGTGAAAAGGACTAATATTAACAGTTATGTCAGCAGGGCACAGTAGATCACGCCTGTAATCCCAATACTTAGGCCGAGACACGTGGATCACTTGAGCCCAGGAGTTCAAAACTAGCCTGGCCAACATGGCAAAACACCATTTCTACAAAAAATACAAAAATTAGCCGGGCATGGTGGTGCACGCCTGTAGTCCCAGCTACTCAGGGGGCTGCGGTGGAAGGATCACTTTAGCCCAGGAGGTGGAGGTTGCAATGTGCCAGATCTTGCCACTGCACTCCAGCCTGGATGACACATGAGACCTAGTCTCAAAAAACAAACTGGCCAGGCGCAGTGGCTCACATGGGTAATCTCAGCACAGTGGGAGGCTGAGGCGGGAGGATCACCTGAGGTCAGCAGTTCAAGACCAGCCTGGCCATCAGGGTGAAACCCTATCGCTACTAAAAATACAAAAATTAGACCATCATGGTGGCACACACCTGTAATCCCAGCTATCAGGAGGCTGAGGCAGGAGAATTGCTTGAACCTGGGAGCTGGAGGTTGCAGTGAGCCGAGATCATGCCACTGCACTCCAGCCTGGGCGACAGAGCAAGACTCCGTCTCAAAAAGAAAGAAAGAAACAAACAAAAACCAGTCTTCAACCACAGGCATACGCTGGGATTCTATGATCTCCAAGTCCACAGATCCTCAGTTTTCTCCATGTCCATAGTTTCTGACCCATCATTCCAATTGTCTTCTAAGGATCTGGTTCTCATGGAGGCACACCTACCCTGACCCCTCTCCCTCCCATGCTGCACAGGCAGCCAGACACGGGGATCTTTTCAAAATGTCAACGTGGGGAAATCCATCTTGCCCACCCCCACCGCACAGTTTCTTAGGACCTCCTGAAACCGTGCAACTCTGGCTGCCATCACTCATATTGGCTCAGAATAAACCTCTTTAAAAATATTTTGGAAAAATTTGGATTTTGCCATCATCAATTACAATTTGTTAAAGAGTGTCCTTGTTATAGAAATTTTTTAAATTATGCTGTCAGCAAATTTGTCTATTTTTTCCTTTATGGATTTTGTGGGGGTTTTTTCTTTAAGTAGACATTCATTAAATCAAGAACTCAAAAACATTTTCCTCTATCATTTTAGTATATTTCCCAAATGGAAAATTTGTTGTTCCAACATCACTGATTGGATAATTTATCCCACATATATCATATGTAAAATCTCAATATCTACCTGATCCTATCTCCTAAGTAAGCTCCATCGATGTATTTGGCTATTCCCACAATAGTACCACCAAATAAACTTCATATTTCTCCTTCTCCCTTTCCAGAATGCAAACAGGATGCTAGGGGTGAAATGCCTGTCCTGTGACCAGAAGACAATAGGGTGGAAGACAGGTGGACCGGTTGCCTCTGTGGCTATCAGATAATGCCTCCTTCAAACCATGATTAGGTCAGTGGCTGCCTATGGGGTTTTCAGTGACTCAGAACCGAGTTAAAATCTTAACTGGTACAAGATCTGTCAGGTGTAGTTGACTCCAGCCCAGATCCCAAGGGTGGCAATTTCTTCTGGGCATTCAACTCAACAAGGATTGATTCACTTACTGAAATTAGTGGTTGAGAAACAGTTAACATCCTCTCCTAATGAGCTTAACCAGAAGATATACAGTATGGGGCTCATGGGGCTGCCTTTTGCCTTTGAGAAAAGTCAAAGCACCATGGGGCTACTTCACTCCACTCACCCCCACATCTCCATTGCTCTGACTCAACCTCTCTGTGTCTTATCTGAGATTTCAGTGTCAGATTTGAGTGACATCCAACTCCCTTCCCATACTCCCTTTAGAATTACAAGTAAATTTACTGATATTTATATAAGTGGCAATGACGATGGATGGTGGTGGGTCCGGTTTTCTGTTTCTATGTTGTGAGGTTTTTATTTGTGTTTCTATTGATCTGCCTTTTCCTCTTTACTCAACATTATGATTTGTTTCTGCCCCACCCTAACTGATCAACGTACTTTGTAATCTCCACCACCCTTAAGAAGTTTCTTTGCAATCTCCCCCACCCTTGAGAAGATTCTTTGTAATTCTCCCCACCCTTGAGATGTACTTTGTGAGATCCACCCCCTGCCTGGAAAACATTGCTCCTAACTCCACCGCCTATCCCAAAACCTGCAAGAACTAATGATAATCCCACCACCCTTTGCTGACTCTCTTTTTGGACTCAGCCCACCTACACCCAGGTGAAATAAACAGCCTTGTTGCTCACACAAAGCCTGTTTGGTGGTCTCTTCACACAGAAGCATGAGACATTTGGTGCTGAAGACCCGGGTCAGAGGGACTCCTTCGGGAGACCAGTCCCCTGTCCTCACCCTCACTCCGTGAAGAGATCCACCTATGACGTCAGGTCCTCAGACCAACCAGCCCAAGGAATATCTCACCAATTTCAAATCGGGTAAACAGTCTTTTCACTCTCTTCTCCAGCCTCTCTCCCTACCCTTCAATCTCCCTGTCCTTCCAAGTCCAGTTATTTTTCCTCTCTAATAGAGACAAACGAGACACATTTTATCCATGGACCCAAAACTCTGGCGCCAGTCACCAACTTAGGAAGACAGCCTACCCTTGGTGTTTAATCATTGCAGGGTGTGCCTGCTTGATTATTCACCCACACCCCATTGGTGTCTGATCACCACGGGGATGCCTGCCTTGGTCATTCACCCACATTCCCTTGGTGGCAAGTCAATTGTGGGGACACCTGCTTTGGCTGCTCACCCACATTGCAGCCCAGGACTGCTCCCCACCCCGCTTCTCCGTGTCTCTACCCTTCTCTTTAAACTTGCCTCCTTTACTATGGGCAACCTTCCACCCTCCATTTCTCCTTCTTCTCCCTTAGCCTGTGTTCTCAAGAGCTTAAAACCTCTTCACCTCTTGCCTGACCTAAAATCTAAGCATCTTATTTTCTTCTCCAACACCGCTTGGCCCCAATACAAACTCGACAATGGTTCTAAATGGCCAGAAAATGACACTTTCGATTTCTCCATCCCACGAGACCTAGATACTTTTTGTCGAAAAAAGGGCAAATGGTCTGAGGTGCCTTACGTCCAGGCATTTTTCACACTTTGTTCCCTCCTTAGTCTCTGTTCCCAATGCGACTCATCCCAAATCCTCCTTCTTTCCCTCCCGCCTGTCCCTTCAGTCTCAACCCCAGTCGTCACTGAGTCTTGTGAATCTTCCTTTTCTGCTGACCCATCTGACCCCTCACCTCCTCCCCAGACTGCTCCTCCTCAGCTCGCTCCCCGCCAGGCTGAATCAGGCTCCAACTCTTCTTCAGCCTCTGCTCCCTCACCCTATAACCCTTCTATTAACTCCCCTTCCCACACCCGGTCTGGTTTACAGTTTCATTCTGCGACTAGCTCTCCCCCTCCTGCCCAACAATTTCCTCTTAGAGAGGTGGCTGGAGCTGAAGGCATAGTCAGAGTACATGTGCCTTTTTCTCTACCAAACGTTTCCCAAATCAGCCAGCGTTTAGGCTCTTTCTCATCAGACACCAATAAATATATACAGGAATTCCAATATCTAACTCTGTCCTACAGTTTAACCTGGAGAGACTTAAATGTCAGCCTAACTTCTACCCTCTCCCCAGATGAATGGGAAAGAGTCTTCTCTCTAGCCCAATCTCACGCTGATAATCACCGGCTTCATGAGCCAGACCTCCAGGAAGGCATTAGAGCAGTTCCCTGAGAAGATCCCCTATGGAACTATCAGGCAGATTCCCCAGGTATAGCTAGGCGAAATTACATGGTTTCTTGCCTAGTTGAAGGGCTTAAAAAGGCAGCTCACAAAGCTGTTAATTATGACAAACTTAAAGAAACTACCCAAGGTAAAGATGAAAACCCAGCCCAGTTCATGGCCTGCTTAGTTAGCAGAAATCCTTAGATGCTTTACCGCCCTAGACCCAGAGGGACCAGAAGGTCACCTTATTCTTAATATGCATTTTATCACCCAGTCAGCTCCTGACATTAGAAAAAAGCTTCAAAAATTGGAATCCGGCCTTCAAACCCCACAACAGGAATTAATCAACCTCGCCTTCAAGGTGTACAATAATAGAGAGGAGGTGGCCAGACAGCAACGCATTTCTGAGTTACAGCTACTTGCCTCCGCTGTAAGACAACCCACAACCACATCTCCAGCATACAAAAAAACTTCAGAACATCCAAGCCACAGCTCCCAGAGGCTCCTTAAAAACATCCTCGTGGACCTTGTTTCAAATGCCAAAAGCCTGGCCACTGGGCCTCAGAATGCCCACGGCCCGGGATTCCTCCTGAGCCGTGCCCTGTCTGTGCAGGCCCCCACTGGAGGTCAGACTGTCCGACTCACATTGCTGCTGCTCCTGAAGCCCCTGGAGCCCAAACCCAATGTTCCCTGGCCAACTCCTTCCAGATCTGATGCTGCCGGATCACCTCGGAAGCCTCCTGGACCATCACAGATGCTTTGGGTAACTCTCACAGTGGAGGGTAAGTACATCCCCTTATTAATCAATACGGAGGCAACCCACTCCACATTACCTTCTTTTCAAGGGTGTGTTTCCCTTGCCTCCATAACTGTTGTGGATTATGACAGCCAGGCTTCTTAACCTCTTAAAACTCCCCAACTCTGGTGCCAACTTGGACAATTTTCTTTTATGCACTCCTTTTTAGTTATCCTCACCTGCCCAGCTCCCTTATTGGCTCGAGACATTTTAACTAAATTACATGCTTCCCTGACTATTCCTAGGCTACAGCCATACCTCATTACCGCCCTTTTCCCCCAGTTCAAAGCCTCCTTCACATCCTCTCCTTGTATCTCCCCACCTTAATCCACCTCTACTCCCTCCTTGAGGATGGATGATGCACCCCTTACCATCCCATTAAAACCTAATCACCCTTACCCCGATCAATGCCAGTATCCCATCCCACCGCATGCTTTAAAAGGATTAAAGCCTGTTATCACTTATCTGTTGTAGCATGGCCTTTTAAAGCCTATAAACTCTCCTTACAATTCCCCCATTTTACCTGTCCAAAAACTGGACAAGCCTTACATTTTAGTTCAGGATCTGCGCCTTATCAACAAAATTGTCTTGCCTATCCACCCCATGGTGCCAAACCCATATATTCTCCTATCCTCAATACCTCCCTCCACAACCCATTATTCTGTTCTAGATAAACCTAGCTGACCCCATAAATCCTAAATCCTTTCCACACTCCCCTGTCCATTCCTTAAAAAACAGCCCTGGCCGGGCGCGGTGGCTCACGCCTGTAATCCCAGCACTTTGGGAGGCCGAGGCGGGCGGATCACGAGGTCAGGAGATCGAGACCATCCCGGCTAAAACGGTGAAACCCCGTCTCTACTAAAAATACAAAAAATTAGCCGGGCGTAGTGGCGGGCGCCTGTAGTCCCAGCTACTCGGGAGGCTGAGGCAGGAGAATGGCGTGAACCCGGGAGGCGGAGCTTGCAGTGAGCCGAGATCCCGCCACTGCACTCCAGCCTGGGCGACAGAGCGAGACTCCGTCTCAAAAAAAAAAAAAAAAAAAAAAAAAAAAAAAAAAAAAAAAAAAAAAAACAGCCCTAAAATCTGCTCCCACACTAGTTCTCCCTAACTCATCCCAACCTTTTTCATTACACACAGCCGAAGTGCAGGGCTATGTGGTTGGAATTCTTACACAAGAGCCAGGACCACGCCCTGTAGCCTTTCTGTCCAAATAACTTGACCTTACTGTTTTAGCCTAGCCCTCATGTCTGCGTGGGGTGGCTGCCACTGCCTTAATACTTTTAGAGACCCTCAAAATCACAAACTATGCTCAACTCACTCTCTACAGTTCTCATAACTTCCAAAATCTATTTTCTTCCTCACACCTGATGCATATACTTTCTGCCCTCCTCCACTACCTCTCAGCAAGCCAAACTCATTGCCTTAACTCGAGCCCTCACTCTTGCAAAAGGACTACGTATCAATATTTATACTGACTCTAAATATGCCTTCCATATCCTACACCACCATGCTGTTTTATGGGCTGAAAGAGGTTTCCTCACTACTCGAGGGTCCTCCATCATTAATGCCTCTTTAATAAAAACTCTTCTTAAGGCCGCTTTACTTCCAAAGGAAGCTGGAGTCATTCACTGCAAGGGCCATTAAAAGGCATCACATCCCATCGCTCAGGGCAACGTTTATACTGATAAGGTAGCTAAAGAAGCAGCTAGCCTTCCAACTTCTGTCCCTCACGGCCAGTTTTTCTCCTTCTCATTGGTCACTCCCACCTACTCACCGACTGAAACTTCTACCTATCAACCTCTTCCCACACAAGGCAAATGGTTCTTGGACCAAGGAAAATATCTCCTTCCAGCCTCACAGGCCCATTCTAATCTATCATCATTTCATAACTTCTTCCATGTAGGTTACAAGCTGCTAGCCCGCCTCTTAGAACCTCTCATTTCCTTTCCATCATGGAAATCTATCCTTAAGGAAATCACTTCTCAGTGTTCCATCTGCTATTCTACTACTCCTCAGGGATTGTTCAGGCCCCCTCTCTTCCCTACACATCAAGCTCGGGGATTTGCCCCTGCCCAGGACTGGGAAATTGACTTTACTCACATGCCCCGAGTCAGAAAACTAAAATACCTCTTGGTCTGGGTAGACACTTTCACTAGATGGGTAGAGGCCTTTCCCACAGGGTCTGAGAAGGCCACCACAGTCATTTCTTCCCTTTTGTCAGACGTAATTCCTCAGTTTGGCCTTCCCACCTATATACAGTCCAATAACGGGCCTGCCTTTATTAGTCAAATCACCCAAGCAGTTTCTCAGGCTCTTGGTATTTAGTGGCTCCTGGTTTTACCTCAAATCGCCACCCTTAAGCCTCTCTTGAATTGGATAGAAGATCTTCAGTGGCAAGGTACCCTCCAATACTTTCACCCTGATGAAGTCCTATTCTTTATTTTTATACTCACTCTTATTCTGGTTCCCGTTCTTATGCCACCTTCTACCTCTCCGCAGCTATCTCCACCACACTATCAAATTCACTCTCTCCTAGCCGTTTCTAATCCTTCTTTAACAAACAATTGCTGGCTTTGCATTTCACTTTCCTCCAAAATCGCTGAGGCCCTGACTTACTCACTGCTAAAAAAAAGGGGGGGACTGTATATTTGTAAATGAAGAGTGTTGTTTTTACCTAAATCAATCTGGCCTGGTATATGACAACATAAAAAAAACTCAAGGATAGAGCCCAAAAACTTGCCAACCAAGAAAATAATTATGCTGAACCCCCTTTGACACTCTGTAATTGGACGTCCTGGGTGCTCCCAATTCTTAGTCCTTTAATACCTGTTTTTCTCTTTCTCTTATTTGGACCTTGTGTCTTTCGTTTAGTTTCTCAATTCATACAAAACCACATCCAGGCCATCACCAATAATTCTATACTACAAATGCTCCTTCTAACAACCCCACAATATCACCCCTTACCCCAAAACCTTTCTTCAGTTGGGTCTCTCCCACTGTAGGTTCCCACGCCACCCCAATCCCGCTTGAAGCAGCCCTGAGAAATCACCCATTATCTCTCCATACCACCCCAAAAAATTTTCACCGCCCCAACACTTTACCACTATTTCATTTTATTTTTCTTATTAATATAAGAAGACAGGAATGTCAGGCCTCTGAGCCCAGGCTAAGCCATCATAACCCCTGTGGCCTGCATGCATACATCCAGATGGCCTGAAGCAACTGAAGATCCACAAAAGAAGTGAAAATAGCCTTAACTGATAACATTCCACCATTATGATTTGTTTCTGCCCCACCCTAACTGATCAATGTACTTTGTAATCTCCCCCACCCTTGAGAAGGTTCTTTGTAATTCTCCCCACCCTTGAGAATGTACTTTGTGAGATCCACCCCCTGCCTGCAAAACATTGCTCCTAACTCCACCGCCTATCCCAAAACCTGCAAGAACTAATGATAATCCCACCACCCTTCACTGACTCTCTTTTCAGACTCAGCCTGCCTGCACCCAGGTGAAATAAACAGCCTTGTTGCTCACACAAAGCCTGTTTGGTGGTCTCCTCACATGGACGTGTGTGACAATATATAGAGAGAGATAGAGTCCAAAAGAATCTACATATTGAGAAACTAAAAAACAGTTTTTTTTCGAGATGGAGACTCACCATATTGACCAGGCTGGTCTCAAACTCTTGGCCTCAAGCAGTCCTCCCATCTCAGCCTCCCAAAATCCAAAGTGCTAGGATTACAGGTATGAGCCACCATGTCTGGGCAAAAACAAACAAACAAACAAAAAACATTTTTTTAATCTGAGGAATGTGAACCCCTTTAAATTATCAGGCCCAGAGAGGCATTTAAAATATAAGAGTAAGGTTCAGGCACTGAGGCTCACACCTGTAATCTCAGTGCTTTGGAAGGTCAAGGTGAAAGGATTGCTTGAGGTCAAGAGTTCAAGGCCAGCCTGGTGCAACACAGGGAGACTCTGTCACTTTAAAAAAAAAAGGGGGGGGGCGGTTACAGCAGTCATAGCTCACTCCCCTTGGAACTAAATAATTACCTCTTGAAGCCACTTGTTATGTGGGCTCTAGACTAACTGAAACCAAGTAGCCATAACATGCCATATATGCTATTTCTGTAAACCAGTGAAAATTCCTGATGAATAACTTTTGTAATGGCCTCTTCTCCTAATTTTTCCTTTTTTTTTTCTGAAAACTTGAGTTTCTCCTCTGTTCTCTGGATCACTCTCCAAAGAAACCTGAAAGTGTATCCTGGGCTGCAGCCCTAAACCCTAGTCCAAATAAAATCTCTGTATTAATTTTGCCTCTGCTTCTTCTTTTTAGGTCAATCATATAAACTCCTGTAAGATCTCTGAATATAAAATCATTATACCAATATGAAATCCAATAGTTTTGTTAAGTTTTCATATATGAAATCCATTATAGCAGCAGTGAGCATTACAGATTAAATTACAGAAAAATCTGTTATAATAGCCTTTTAAAAACATCAAATTCTCAAGAATAGATGTAATAAAAGTGTGGAATACCTCTACACAAAAGTGTATTAAACATTACTGAAGCAAATTAAAGAAAACATAAATAAATGCAACAGATGGAGCGGTATGTACTTTGCCTGAGGATTGAAAAAGAGTCACTATGGGAAAGACAAATTTATCTATAGATTCAATGCAATCTCAAACAAAATCCCAATAGCTTTTGTGTCTGTGTGTGGAAATTTAAAAGTCAATCTAAAATTTGTGGAAATAAACAAAAGTAGCTACAAAAATGTAGAAGAAGGAGGAGATAGTTCAAGGACTAACACTACTAAAATTTATCTAGTATAAATACAAGGATATAAAATAAACTGATGGGAAAAAATAGAGATTCCATAAACAGACCCATGCTCCTATGCACACTTGATCTGTGATAGGAGACACTGCAGAACCCTGAGGAAGAATGATCTTTTCAAGAAACAGTGCTGCTTCAATTTCATATCAATAAGGAGGAAAATGAAACTTGAACCCTACTTAAATCACATGCAAGCATATCAATCCTTGTGAACTGCAGATCTAAGTTTGAAAAGTAAAACAATAAAGGTTCTTAGAATATAATATAGGAGGCCAGGCACGGTGGCTCACGCCTGTAATCCCAGCACTTTGGGAGGCCAAGACGGGCGGATCACGAGGTCAGGAGATTGAGACCATCCTGGCTAACACGGTGAAATCCCGTCTTTACTAAAATACAAAAAATTAGCCGGGCATGGTGGCAGGCGCCTGTAGTCCCAGCTACTTGGGAGGCTGAGACAGGAGAACGGCGTGAACCCGAGAGGCGGAGCTTGCAGTGAGCCGAGGTCGCGCCACTGCACTCCAGCCTGGGCGACAGAGCGAGACTCTGTCTTAAAAATAAAAAAAAATTTAAAAAAAAGAATATAATATACAAGTATACAGTCATGACCTTGTGGTAGGAAATCATTTATTAGCGGGTACAAAAGGTACTAAACAGCTGGGGTGCGGTGGCTCATGCCTGTAATCCCAGCACTTTGGGGGGCCGAGGGAAGCAGATCACTGGAGGTCAGGAGTTTGAGACCAGCCTGGACAACATGGTGAAACTCCGTTTCTACTAAAAAGCAAAAATTAGCTGGGTGTGGTGGCAGGCACCTGTAATCCCAGCTACTCAGGAGGCTGAGGCTGGAGAATCGCTTGAACCTGGGAGGCAGAGGTTGCAGTGAGCCGAAATTGCACCACTGCGCTCCAGCCTGGGTGACAATAGTGAAACTCCCTCTCAAAAAAAAAAAAAAAAAGGTACTAAACACTAAGGAAAAGATGTGTATATTAGACTAAATTAAAATCAGGAACCTCAAACGATTGCATTAAGAGAACTAAATGACAAGAGAATGTGTTTGCAGTATATATTTGACAAAGGAAGACTTAATAAGAAAAGACAAATAGAAAAATGGCCAAGATATATAACTTCACAAAAGAGGATATTCAAATGGCCAATGCATGCATGAAAAGGAACTCAATATCAATTGTTATCAAATTAATGCAAGTTAAAACCACAACACTTCCACTATAGTTCCACCAGAGTAACTAAAATGCAAAAGCCAGTGTTGGCAAGAATGCGGAAAAACTAAAACTGTCATGATGGGAAGCGTAAATTGGTACAATCACTTTTGACAAATTCTTTGGAAGGATCTACTAAAGTAGAGCATGCACATTTCCTATGACCCAGCAACTGTAGCACTAGATACGCTCAATAGAAATGTATTCACATGTGCTCCAAAAGACATATGCTATTTAGAATAACCTAAAGCTGTAAACACCCTGTATTAGTCTGTTCTTGCACTGCTATAAAGAACTACCTGAGACTAGGTAATTTATAAAGAAAATAAGTCTATTTGGCTCACAATTGTGCATGCTATACAGGAAGCATGACTGAGAAGGCCTCAGGAAACTTACATTATGGCGGAAGGTGAAAAGGAAGGAGGCATGTCTTACATGCCCAGAGCAGGAGGAAGAGAGTGAAGGGGAAGGTGCTACACACTTTTAAACAACCAGCTCTCTTGAAAACTCTCTCATGATCACAAGAACAGCAGGGAGGAAATCCGTCCCCATGAGCCAATCACTTCCCACCAGGTCCCTCCTCCGATACTGGGGATTACAATTTAACATGAGATTTGAGCAGGGACACCAATTCAAACCATATCACACCCCTAATGTCCCTCATAGTGGATGGATAAATTAATTGGGGTATATTCAAGCAGCTATGAAAATAAACCAACTTACAACTGCAAAAACATGAATGAATCTCACCAAAATAATGTTGAGCTAAAGAAAACTATCACAAAGAATGCATGCTGTGATTCCATTTTACAAAGATCAAGAACAAGCAAAACTAATGTGTGGTTTAAGGAGTTAGATTAGTGGTGTCCCGTGAAGAAAAGATTAGGAAAAGTGATCAGATGGGGCTTCTGGGATACTAAGAATGTTCTATTTCTTGATCTGAGTGATGAGTACAAGTGTGTATGTTTGCCAGTTTGCCAGGTTCTATGCTTAAAACATTTGCATTTGGGGCACGTATATTTCAATATGAATTTTTTTAATCAAGTAAAAATAAAATTGGAAGTTGAGACTACCCTAGCCATTTAGGGTTACTTGTGCCACTAGACAAGAAGTAAAGAATAAGCTGTGGCAGTTCATCCCAATTACAGGTGGAAATCGGGCTGCTGCTACCTGCAGGGAGTAAGAAGTAATCTGCCTGAAACCCAGCCAATTCATTGACTTTGTCTCAGTACTCTCTTGCTGGGTAATACTAGGCAGTGGGAAACCGTAGTAACACAGTAAGACAAAACCACTGAAAAAGGCTTGGATGCTATGGCAACGCAAGTTTGGATCATACCCCCGGAGAAAAACTCAAACTTCCTGAGGTGATGGCAAAGGTGATTTATGAAAATAGTGTATCCAGGTAGTTTAAACTAATTTCTCCACTCCCCACTACTGCAGTATTAAACTTGGGCATGTGCATCATCATCTTTGAGGGAATACATCTCATTCTCACATTTTTATCAGTAGTTTTTGACTTAACTGGAAAGATCAAGCTGACCCACCTAAATTCCGACTTCAAATTTAAGTTACAAAGGTTTAACTTTGTGCTATTAAAATTTTCTTTTAAAATATGAAAATGCGGCTGGGCACAGTGGCTCGTGCCTGTAATCCCAGCACTTTGGGAGGCCGAAGCAGGTGGACCATCTGAGGTCAGAAGTTCGAGACCAGCCTGGCAAACATGTTGAAACAACAATTCTACTAAAAATACAAAAAATCAGCTGTGTCTGGTGGCGGGCACCTGTAATCCCAGCTACTCCAGAGGTGGGAGAATTGCTTGAACCCGGGAGGCAGAGGTTGCAGTGAGCTGAGGTTGCACCATTGCACTCCAGCCTGGGCAACAAGAGCAAAACTCCATCTCAAAAACATGTATGTGTGTATATATATGAAAATGCAATTATATCAAAATGAAGGCCCTAGATTTTTTGCTCTGTTTTCTAGAAGAATGTTTGGCATATATGTAAGCACAATCATTTCCATTCACTTAAGTTTCAGGAACTCTTTTGATTTGTGTGCATGTGCACCAGTGTGCACACTTACATAAACATGGCTGACTCCTACATGATAGTTTTCTCTTTGGTGTATACATTTATTCAAAAGAATGTACAAGAACAGAACTCAGTTATATAACTAGATAAATGTATAATCACAAGATCTATATTATTTTGAAAAATGGCAATAAATTCATATAAAGTCACTAAGACTATACCTGGTACAAATATGGATTTGATGACCACTTAGTGTCCACTGGTTAGAAATCACGGTGTTAAAGTTGAAAATATTTCCATCAATCCTTTTCACTTAGTTCTCTTTTTTTTTTTTTTTTTTTTTTTGAGATGGAGTCTTGCTCTGTCACCCAGGCTGGAGTGCAGTGGCCCTCAGCTCACTGCAACCTCCGCCTCCTAGGTTCAAGTGATTCTCCTGCCTCAGCCTCATGAGTAGCTGGGATTTCAGGCACCCACCACCATGCTGGGCTAATTTTTGTACTTTTAGTAGAGACGGGGTTTCACCACATTGGCCAGGCTGATCTCAAACTCCTGACCTAACGTAATCCACTTGCCTCGGCCTCCCAAAGTGCTTGGATTACAGGCATGACCCACCACCCCCGGCCGATTGTCATATTTTTAAATTCACATTTTCCATATTTAAAAATAATAAAAATTACCACCTTATTTCTTAAGAAATAGACCATAAGACATCTGTATTAGTCTGTTTTCACATTGCTATAAAGAATTACTTGAGGCTAGGCATGGTGGCTCACACCTGTAATCCTAGAACTTTGGGAGGTCAAGGCGAGTGGATCACCTGAGGTCAGGAGTTTGAGACCAGCCTTGCCAACATGGCGAAAACCTGTCTCTACTAAAAATACAAAAATTAGCTGGGCATGATGATGCATGCCTGTAATCCCAGCTACTCAGGAGGCTGAGGAAGGAGAATCACTTGAACCCGGGAGGTGGAGGTTGCAGTGAGCCAAGATCACGCCACTGCACTCCAGCCTGCACAACAGGAGTGAGACTACATCTGAAAAAACAACAACAACAACTTAAGACTGGGTAATTTATGAAGAAAAGAGGTTTAATCAACTCACAGTTCTGTAGGCTGTACAGGAGACATGGCTAGGGAGGCCTCAGGAAACTTACAATCATGGCAGAAGGTGAAGAGGAAGCAAGCATTTCTTCCCACAGTGGAGCAACAGACAGAGAGTAAAGGGGGCAGTACCACACACTTTTTAAACCACCAGAGCTTGTGAGAACTCACTCACTATCATGAGAACGGCAAGGGAGAAGTCCGCCCCCATGATCCAGTCACCTCCCACCAGGCCTCTGCTCCAACACTGAGAATCACAACTCGACATGAGATTTGAGTGGGGACACAGACCCAAACAATATCAACATCTATGCTGGGAATGAGGAAGTAGGAAGATCTCATCCAAGTAAGTCATCATAGAACGTTCCAGAAGAATGTAGAACTGGTCTGTTAAGTGGCTACTCTTCTTATGCTTTTTAGGTTGGCTTTTCCTAACACTTGACCCATCCTAAAGGAGAGACCTTGAGAGGTAAGAGATGGTGTTCACTCTTCAGTTTTATTTTCCATTGGGACATTCTCATCATTTGTTGGAAGGACTGATTTACATTTTGCTGAATTCCTCCAGTTGATGTTTCTGTTCTCCTTAATTATTAGTGCTCTGGGCAACTGCCCAGCTAGCGAAGAGGCCCCTAATCTAGCTCTGCTGAGGAAAGGGGGTGGCCTTAATGATTATCTGGGCTGGGCCACATTTTTGACAAGGATCTGTTCTCAGGTTTTAACTGACATTTAAGTTAAAATAAATGGATCTGTTCTCACTTCTTCAGAGAGGTCTTTCCTGACCCCCAACCCCATCTAAATCAGCCCCACAAGATTCTAATTCATCCTCTTTACTGCTCTTACCAGTACTGCCGTTAACTTACCTACTTACTATTCTGCATGAGATTCTTAGTAGCAGCAACTTTATTTATCCCATTGCCAAGAGCAAGGCCAGGCCCACCATAAGGGCTTGATGTTTAACCCACTTGACTGGCTACTGTGTATGAGCCTGGAGGTTTTCAAAAGCAACTAGTTATCTGAACTTCATGTTTATATTCTTGTGGTCGTTCTTTAATCACTATCTCAGCACCCTTATGATTTTCAGTTTGAAGTGCACCAAAGAACAAACTGCATCCTTTAAGCATCACTATGACTTTGAGAGAATTCTGGGCAGAAATGCACTTCACAATGAAGTAGCTAAAATGATATTAATTTTTAGGAAATTATACTCTTCTCCATACTAAACGGTCATGCCATTATTATCAGGTTCAGAAAAAGTACCCGTAAGGTAGACATGACACACCATAGGTCTAAGAATTAGGAGACTACATCTAAGTTAAAATTTTACTCAAGCAAGTTAAGGCCTTTTAGTTCTATTCCAATAACATTTCATAAGTTCTTAACCAGCGACATGGCTTAATAAAAGCTCATGGATTACCTCAGTCCTTCAGTTATAGCCTGCAGAAAAAACATTCTTAGGTTTAGCTGTGCTGGCTCTCAGAAGAAAAAATTAGGAGGTGAGAGCTTTTATTTTCCAAGTTAAACATTCCATCCAAAAAAGCACAGAGGCTGTAATGCAAGAAACATGAACCACCAAGACTGTGTTGCTGGCCCAGGCTCAGCATCACCCAGGCAATGCCTGAGGCCTGGAGGAAGCTGAGAAGTGATGACTAGTGGAGGGAGGAAGCAGCTTGTCCAACTCCTGTGATGAAACCACCAGTAAGAACCACACTGCAAATGTTTCAGCAGCCCTAGGACCCTGCTAGCAGGAACAGCCAGGGGTTGGGGGACTGGGTTCTTGTGGTGTTCCTTGTAGAAGTTCAAGTCCAGTGTACTACCTAACTCCTGTTTTTACAAGCCTAGAGAAAACACCTGTTGCCTGCCCAATCCCTGTTGTCAAGTTTCACACAAACATGGCATTGCCCTGCTTAGTGCCCTCCAGGGACACCCACTTCCTACATCGGGGGAATCTCAGACACCATCAAGGCCCATCCTGCCCCTTTTCATTCAGGCCACCATCTGTCCCTGACTTGCCTGATTCTGCAGCTGGCCTGGGTTCCTGGGATTCCCCAACCTTGTCATGTCTGCGATAGGACAGAAAGTCAGAAGAGGAGAAAAGTGACACTATGCCAGAACAGGCAGCTAGTCTGCTGGCTCAAGCCTTCCAGGTAGGCCTGAAAGGACAGCAGGGAGGTCAAAGTTAGATCAGAAATGAGCAACCTAGAGGCCTGCAGGTGGTAGCAGGGCTGGGCGAGCAGCCAGACACAGCTGTCGAGATGGTGTATTTTATCGATTCTAAGACAAAGCTCTTTTTATAATTTAGTGCCTGTGAAATCAGGATGTGTCTCACAACTAATGACATCTTAGCACTGTGTTATTGCTACTATGATCTGTTTCTGCCCACAGAACACTTCTGATGCCAAATGTGTGTGGTGGTTTGCCCTCACCGACCATTTCTCCGACACCAGCTAAGTGTTCTACAATTGAACTCTGGCACTATCTACCAAGAGTTAGCTTGAAACTCACAGGTTAAAGGCTTGGTCCCACAAGACAGCCCCCACTTCACATGCCAATCGCAATTTGGGGCCATCCATCCTTCTCATCAACTGGCTATAAATTGGGGATTTCCACAACCCTCTTTTTAGGTTGGATATTTGCTAGAAGAGCACACAGAACTCAGCATTTTACTTACATTTACCAGTCCATTACAAAGGATACACATGAACAGCCATGTGCAAAGGTATATACAGCAAGGTCCAGAAGATGCTCAAGCACAGATGCTTCTGTCCCAGTGGAGCTGGGGTGTGGCATCCTCCCAGCAAGTGGATGCGTCCACTAACCTGGAAGCTGTTCAACCCCATTGCTTTGGGGTCTTATGGAGCTTCCATTACATAGGTATGATTGATTAAATCATCGGCCATTGGTGAGTAACCCTCTAATCACTCTGGCAACCAGGTCCCATCCTAAAGCTATCTTGGCAACCACCAGGAGTTATCTCATCAGCATAAACTCATGTACAGTTGAAGAGGCTTACTATAAATAACAAAAGACTATCACTCAGGAAATTCCACCAGTTTTAGAAGCTCTGTGCCAGGAACCTGGACCAAAGACCAAACCTTTATTTTTTATTATATGACAATATCACAATTATGGTTTTTATTGTATCATTTTTAAATAATACAATAAAAAAATCTTGGTGAGTCAAGTATGACTCTAGTTCTACTCCAGTAACTTTTCATAAGTTCTTAACCAGAGATATGGCTGTATTTATCACTTTATTGCTTTATTTAAAAATAGTATTGATCAAAGGTAACATCAAATGTAGTCATTGAAAACATGGGTCGATTTCCCAGAATCAAGTCCAACATGGAGGGATAAATGGAGATACAGGCCAGAGAGAGGCCTGGAGTCAGAAACTAGAAGAACAAGGTGAGAGAGGGGCTCCCACAGGCCAAGCAACTGTGAAGTTCCCAGCATCCTACATCCCCGACTGCTTCTGGCGTGGATGCAAGTGTGTTTAAGATTCAATGCCTCTGCACCTTTTCCCCTCCAGCATCTGCCTCCTCGTGTCTAAGTTTGCCTTTCAAAACTCTGTCAACATGTTAGTTCCTTGAGCTCTTCCTGGATGCCACCAGGCAGTTACTGATCCCTCCCTCTGGGCTTCCACTGTTCTTTAAACATCTGTAACATGTTTTGTGATTATTGATTTATTTTTATGTCTTCTGTTATTTAACCACTTGCTCCAAGGATGGGGTCAGTCTCTGAATCCCAGCACTGGAGCAGTGTCCAGAAAAGAAGAAGCACTTCCTTGTTGGTTAAATGAACCTATTTAGGTGTTAAAACATATCTCTCAGGTGAACTGATAGCAAGCTCATGACAGAAGTTTATTTCACCCTGACTACAAGGAAAGCTATTTCCAACAGAGCCAGCTCAGATTTCCTTCTGTTAGAGAGCTTTCGATAGTTAAAAAATAATAATAATAACAGACAAGTGAGGCTAAATTGCCTTGCTAGATGAGGCACAAGAAAGGTAATGTTTTGCGCTAAAAGTCACTATGCAAATCTCAGACCCTGGGTCAGCCACCTGAGTTACATTCCACAAAACTAGGTGGGGAAATCTCTGGGAGGGCTTTTCTAGTCTCGTTACATTCCATGAGGGAATTGCTGTAACATTTTACAGGAAATGCTGGATATTTATCCAAAAGCACAATAAATTTTGCTCCAGCCTACTTTTTCTCTGGTTTTAGTCCTACTTAGTACCCAAGTAGCCTGAGTCTTGTGGAATGGGGACTTTCAAGTCTTCAGTCACAGGGGTGCACATTCCCTGCTGGCTTCCAAACAGGGGCTGCCACACCACCCTGAGCAAGAATACTCTTACACTGGAGGCTAGGAAGGATAGGAAGGGAGGGATAGGGAGAGATTTGTTAAAGGATACAAAAAAACAGATAGGTAAGGGGAATTAGTTCTAGTGTTCTATATCACTGTAGGATGACTATAGTTAACAATAATATATTATATAGTTTCAAACAGTGAGAAAGAGGATATTGAATGTTCCCAACACAAAGAAATGATAAACCTTTGAAATGATGAATACACTGATTACCATGATCTGATCACCAGATATTATTTGTATCAAAACATCACTAGGTACCTCATGACTATGTACAACAACTATTTGTCAATTAGGAAAAAATAAAATAAATTTTTAACAAAGAATGCTCTTAGACCAGGCACGGTGGCTCACACCTGTAATCCTAGCACTTGGAAAGGCTAAGGTGGATGGATCACTTGAAGTCAGGAGTTCGATACCAGACTGGCCAACATGGTGAAACCCTGTTTCTACTAAAAATACAAAAAAATTAGCCAGGCATGGTGGTGCACGCCTGCAATCCTAGCTACTTGGGAGGCTCAGGTGGGGGGATCACTTGAACCCGGGAGGCAGAGGTTGCAGTGAGCCGAGATCACACCACTGCACTCCAGCCTTGGTGAGAGCAAGGTTCTGTCAAAAAAAAAAGAACACTTCTAGATGCTGGGGTGAAGAAGGCTTTTGTCCATCTTGTGTTAATTATGACCTTTTTATTCTGTATTTTTGATGCTTTGACATCTTGGGGCCTTGCTGACCCTGGAGGGACTGCTTTCTCCCAGGGTAGAAGGTATTACTATTTGAACCACTAGACTGAGTCAAAATGATCTGTCCTCACCAATGTGGATAGGCATTATTCTTCCAATTCCTTGAAGGTCTCAACAGAACAAAAAGACAGGGGAAGGACAAATTTGCTCTTTATTCTGGAGCTAGGACATCCAACTTCTGCTCTCTGACATCAGAACTGCAGGTTCTCAATCCTGGGACTCTGGGACTCATATTAGTGTTCCCCATCCCACTCTACTCAAAGATATATTACTGTCCCCACTCCACTCAAAGATATATTACTGTTCCCCACTCCACTCTACCAAAGATACCTGATTTGAGTCACTCAGAAGACTAGGTAGGGGTTTATTGAGGGAGCTGGCAACCCATCCCCGACATGTGTGACCCAGCCAGAACCAGAGCAGTAGGAGCCTCACTGCCTTCACCCTAGTGCTGCCACGTAGAGCAGCTAGAGCCTCTCCTGTGGACTCAAGCCTGACAGTGGGAGTTCCCTTGGGAAGGTAGGATCACCTTCACCTCTTTATCTTGGTTTCTTTATCGGTACAATGGAAATGGTAATAATAGTACCTAAATCTTGGGGTTATCATAAAGATTAAAGTAATTAAAGCATGTGAAGTGCTTAGACCATGCCTAGTGCATAGCAGGCACTTTATAATCATTTACTTCAATAAAAACATAGGTCCTGGAGCCAAAGGCTTGACCTTAATTGATATGTGAACCAGGTAAAAGTCACTTAGCCATTCTGAGTTTCAGTTTTCTTATTTGTAAAATGAAAATAAAATAGTACCTATCTTGAAGGGTTTTCATGAAGATTAAATAAGCTAATAGGAAGAAATCACCATAACAGCCTGGCACCACAAATGTTAGTTAATAAAGCTTGGCAAGCCGGGCACGGTGGCTCACACCTGTAATCCCAGCACTTTGGGAGGCCGAGGCGGATGGATCACCTGAGGTCGGTGGATCACCTGAGGTCAGGATTTCGAGACCAAAATGGCCAACATGGTGAAACCCCATCTCTACCAAAATACAAAAAATTAGCCGGTCATGGTGGCAGGCGCCTGTAAACCCAGCTACTCGGGAGGCTGAAGCAGAAGAATTGCTTGAACCTGGGAGACGGAGGTTGCAATGAGCTGAGATTGCGCCATTGCACTCCAGCCTGGGCAACAAGGACAAACCTCTGTCTCAAAATCAATCAATCTTGGCAATGAACACGGGTTCCTCCTGGCAAAGGTTTTGGCTCTGTGGGGTAATGCTGCCCTCTGCCGGACAATTTGGTTTCTTGCTTTGTTTGTTTTAATAAACTGTTGGGTTTTTTCCCAAAGTCCCACCCCACCTAGCAAAAAGGTTAACATTCTTCATAAAGATTATTTTCTCAGAATACGTTTCTGAGAAAATGAGTACAAACATGATTTGTTGATTCGCTATCCGCAAATGGCTTTCCTCATTTGAGGAACAAATGAGCCACTTGGAAGCTTACTTGGGCTGCAATTTTATTTCCAATTTTATCTTTATGAAGAAATCCAGGCCGAGCGCAGCGGCTCACACCTGTAATCCCAACACTTTGGGAGGCCGAGGAGGGCCGATGCCCAGGAGTTCGAGACCAGCCTGGGAAATATGGAGAAACCTCGCCTCTACAAAAACTACAAAAAATTAGCCGAGCCTGGTGGCACACATCTGTAGTCCCAGCTACTCGGTAGGCTGAAGTGGGAGATCACGCGAGCCCGAGAGGTCAAGACTGCAGTGAGCCGTGATAGTGCCACTGCTCTCCAGCCTGGGCGACAGAAGATAAGAAAAGAAGAGAAGGGAAGAGAAAAAAAGGAGAGGGGAGAGGAGGGGAGGGGAGGGGAGGGGAGGGAAGGGGAGGGGAGGGGAGGGGAGAAGAAAAAGAAATCCAGCTATGTTGGCCGGGCGTGGCGGCTCGCGCCTGTAATCCCAGCACTTTGAGAGGCCAAGGCGGGTGGATCACTTGAGGTCAGGAGTTCGGGACCAGCCTGGCCAACATGGTGAAGCCCCGTCTCTACTAAAAATACAAAAATTAGCCAGGTATGGTGTCGCGCGCGCGTAATCCCAGCTACGTGGGAGGCTGAGGCAGGAGAATCGCTTGATCTCGGGAGGCGGAGGTTGCAGTGAGTTGAGATCATGCCACTGCACCCCAGCCTGGGGGACAGAGTGAAATTCCGTCTCAAAAAAAAAAAAAAAAAAAAAAAAAGAAAAGAAAAGAAAAGAAAAGAAAAACAGAAAAGAAAAATAAAAATAAAGAAAAATAATGTCAGCTATGTGTTGAGATATTGCTGCTTAATTTTTTTTAACTTTTCTTTTTTCTTCTTAAACTCAATAGTAAGAATATGCTTAACTTTTCCGATTTTCCTTATTATTGCTTTCCTATGAGTTGAGAATATTGTGATAAGTGCCTAGTCTGGTAATTTGCACACACATTGTATTCTCTTGTTACAGTTACAGTGTGATAAAATAAATAAATGAAAAGTCATAGCATGGCAAAAAGTATAGCACTTGAAACACTGTAGTGTGCTAGTTGCCTCACTGTGGTTTGTGATGTGTCTAAAGCAAGGGGAAATAATGAGAACACCACACAAGGTCTCTGTCCAGACTATTCAACTCTGATCTTTGAATCACAAAAGCAGCCGTAAGATACATAAATGAATGAGTGCAACTGCGCTGTCATAAAACTTTATTCATAACTGTTGAAATTTGAATTTCACATAATTTTCAAATACTACAAAATATCATTCTTTTTATTTTTCTCAATTGTTCACAAAAGTTAAAACCATATACAAAAACAGGCAGCTGACAATTTGGGCACAGAATCTGTAGTTGTGGACCTCTGGTCTAGAGTCATCCACCAAGAGCAGCCAGATCCCGAGGGGACAGAATGGTGATTTAAACAGAAATATCATGGGGACACTATTGCTGCATTCTTTAGACCCTTGAGGGTGTCACTTATCTCTGCCATTCCCCTTGATGCAGCATTTTGTCTTGTTCTCTCTTGACTAGGGATATAGTTTTTTTAATGTGCAGAACATGCAGATTGGTTATATAGGTATACATGTGCCATGTTGGTTTGCTGCATCCATTAGCTCGTCATTTACATTAGGTATTTCTCCTAATGCTATCCCTCCCCCAGCCCCCCACCCTACAACAGGACCCAGTGTGTGGTGTTCCCTGCCCTGTGTCCAACTGTTCTCATTGTTCAGTTCCCACCTATGAGTGAGAACATGCAGTGTTTGGTTTTCTGTCCTCGTGATAGTTTGCTCAGAATGATGGTTTACAGCTTCATCCATGTCCCTGCAAAAGACATGAACTCATCCTTTTTTGTGGCAGCATAGTATTCCATGGTGTATATGTGCCACATTTTCTTAACCCAGTCTATCATTGATGGACATTTGGGTTGGTTCCAAGTCTTTGCTATTGTGAATAGTGCTGCAAATAAACACTCGCGTGCATTTGTCTTAATAGTAGCATGATTTATAATCCTTTGGGTATATACCCAGTAATGGGATCGCTGGGTCAAATGGTATTTCTAGTTCTAGATCCTTGAGGAATCGCCACACTGTCTTCCACAATGGTTGAGCTAGTTTACACTCCCACCAACAGTGTAAAAGTGTTCCTATTTCTCCACATCCTCTCCAGCACCTGTTGTTTCATGACTTTTTAATGATCACCATTCTAACTGGTGTGAGATGATATCTCATTGTGGTTTTGATTTGCATTTCTCTGATGACCAGTGATGATGAGCATTTTTTCATGTGTCTTTTGGCTGCATAAATGTCTTCTTTTGAGAAGTGTCTGTTCATATACTTTGTCCACTTTTTGATGGGTTTGTTTGTTTTTTTCTTGTAAATTTGTTTAAGTTCTCTGTAGATTCTGGATATTAGTCCTTTGTCAGATGGGTAGATTGCAAAAATTTTCTCCCATTCTGTAGATTACCTGTTCACTCTGATGGTAGTTTCTTTGGCTGTGCAGAAGCTCTTTAATTTATTTAGACCCCATTTGTCAATTTTGGCTTTTGTTGCCATTGCTTTTGGTGTTTCAGTCATGACGTCCTTGCCCATGCCTATGTCCTGAATGGTATTGCCTAGGTTTTCTTCTAGGGTTTTTATGGTTTTAGGCCTAATGTTTAAGTCTTGAATCCATCTTGAATTAATTTTTGTATAAGGTGTAAGGAAGTGATCCAGTTTCAGCTTTCTACATATGGCTAGCCAGTTTTCCCAGCACCATTTATTAAATAGGGAATCCTTTTCCCAGTTATTGTTTTTGCCAGGTTTGTCAAAGATCAGATGGTTGTAGGTGTGTGGTGTTATTTCTGAGGGCTCTGTTCTGTTCCATTGGTCTATATCTCTGTTTTGGGACCAGTACCATGCTGTTTGGTTACTGTAGCCTTGTAGTATAGTTTGAAGTCAGGTAGCGTGATGCCTCCAGCTTTGTTCTTTTTGCTTAAGATTGTCTTGGCAATGAGGGCTCTTTTTTGGTTCCATGAACTTTAAAGTAGTTTTTTCCAATTCTGTTAAATCATTGGTAGCTTGATGGGGATGGCATTGAATCTATAAATTACCTTGGGCAGTACGGCCATTTTCATGATATTGATGCTTCCTATCCATGAGCATGGAATGTTCTTCCATTTGTTTGTCTCCTCCTTTATTTTGTTGAGCAGTAGTTTGTAGTTCTCCTTGAAGAGGTCCTTCACATCCCTTGTAAGTTGGATTCCTAGGTATTTTATTCTCTTTGTAGCAACTGTGAATGGGAGTTCACTCATGATTTGGCTCTCTGTTTGTCTGTTATTGGTGTATAGGAATGCTTGTGATTTTTTGCACATTGATTTTGTATCCTGAAACTTTGCTGAAGTTGCTTATCAGCTTAAGGAGATTTTTTTTTTTTTTTTTTTTGAGACAGAGTTTCGCTCTTGTTGCCCAGGCTGGAGTACAATGGTGCAATATCAGCTCACCGCAACCTCTGCCTCCTGGGTTCAAGCAATTCTCCTGCCTCAGCCTCCTGACTAGCTGGGATTACAGGCATGCACCACCACACCTGGCTAATTTTGTATTTTTAGTAGAGATGGGGTTTCTCCATGTTGGTTAGGTTGGTCTCAAACTCCCAACCTCAGGTAATCCACCCACCTCGGCCTCCTAAAATGCTAGGATTACAGGTGTGAGCCACCGCACCCAGGCAGACTAGGGGTATAGTTTTAGGCTTCTGCTTGGCTTTCCTTTTCTATGATGAATTTCACCTCACAGTCCTAGGGTATGGTGAGGATTTTTATACATCAATCTTCATATGGGATATTATTCTACAGTTTTTTCTTGTAAAATCTTTGTCTTGCTTTGGTATCAGGGCAATTGTAGCCTCATAGAATGAGTTAGGGAGTACTCCCTCCTCTTCAAGTTTTTGGAAGGGATTAAGAAGGATTAATATTAGTTATCTAAATATTTGATAGAAAAGTCAAGTCCAAGGCTTTTTTTTTTTTTATTTTTTTCGGTCAGGAGATTTTTGGTTACTGATTCAGTCTCCTTACTAGTTACTAGTCTATTCAGATTTTCAATTTCTTCATGATTCAGTCTTGGTAGGGTTCATATTCCTAGGAATTTGTCCATTTCATCCAGGTTATCCAATATGTTGGTGTACAATTGTTCTTAGCACTCTCTTACAATCCTATTCATTTATTTATTTGAGACAGGGTCTCATCTGTCACCCAGGCTGGAGCACAGTGGTGTGATCTAGGCTCACTACAACCTCCACCTCCCAGGTTCAAGTGATCCTCCTACCTCAGCCTCCTGAGTAGCTGGGACAACAGGCTTTTGCCACCAAGATGGGCTGATTTTTCTTTTTCTTTCTTTCTTGTTTTTTTTTTTTTTTGTTTTTTTTTTGTAGAGACCAGGTTTTACCATGTTTCCCAGGCTAGTCTTGAACTCCTGAGCTCAAGTGATCCACCTGCCTGAGCCTCCCGAGTAGCTGGGATTACAGGCGCCTGCCACCACACCCGGCTACGTTTTTTGTATTTTTAGTAGAGATGGTTTCACCATGTTGGCCAGGCTAGTCTCGAACTCCTGACCTCAAGTGATCCGCCTGCCTTGGCCTCCCAAAGTGCTGGGATTACAGGTGTGAGCCACTTCACCCTGCCAATCCTTTTCATTTTGACTGGATCAGATAGTAATGTCCCCAATTCCATTTCTGATTTTAGTAATTTGAGTCTTCTCTCTTTTTTTCTTAGTCAGTCTATAAAGTTTGTCAATTTTATCTTTAAAAAAAAACCAGCTTTTGGTTTTGTTGATTTTCTCCTTTTTTTTTAATGCTCTGTTTTATTTATTTCTGAAATAATCTTTATTTCCTTCCTTCTGCTAGTGTTGGGTTTAATTTTTTTCTTTTCTAGTTGCCTAAATTGTAAATTTAGGTTGCTAATTTGAGATCTTTTTGGTGTTTTTTGTTTTGTTTTGTTTTGTTTTTGAGATGGAGTTTCACTCTTGTTGCCCAGGCTGGAGTGCAATGGTGTGATCTCGGCTCACTGCAACCTCTGCCTCCCGGGTTTAAGTGATTCTTCTGCCTCAGCCTCCCAAGTAGCTGGGATTACAGGCACCTGCCACCATGCCCAGCTGATTTTGTATTTTTAGTAGAGACAGGGTTTCTCCATGTTGGTCAGGCTAGTCTGGAACTCCTGACCTCAGGTGATCCGCCCACCTCAGCCTCCCAAAGTGCTGGGATTACAGGCGTGAGCCATGACGCTCGGCTTTTTGTTTTTTGTTTTTTTAAAACGTAAGCATTTCACACTATAAATTTCCCTGTTAGCACTGCTTTTACTGTATCCCAAAGTTTTGCTGTACTGTGTTTTCATTTTCATTCATTTCTGAGTACAGCTGAGCCTTGAACAACATGGATCTGAACTGCAAGGG
This sequence comes from Homo sapiens, assembly GCF_000001405.40. NCBI lineage: Eukaryota > Metazoa > Chordata > Mammalia > Primates > Hominidae > Homo > Homo sapiens. The sequence continues at coordinate 228,658,935 of NC_000001.11, read as the reverse complement.
TGCATTTATACAGTAATTGTTTTCAATAAATACAGTTGGTCCTCTGATTTCATGAATTCTGCATCTGTAACCAAAGGCAGATTGAAAATACAGTATTCACAGAGTGCAAAACCTGAGGATACAGAGGCCTTACTTTTTTAATACCCAGGTTTTACAGGGCCAACTGCAGGACTTGACTCTGTGTGGATTTTGGCCTACTTATGGGGTCCTGGAACCAATCCCCTGTGGATGCTGACAGCCAACTGTATTTTCTGATTTCTCTTGTGGTTTCATCTTTAACCCATTGGTTGTTTAAGAATATATCTTAATTTGTTCATGTTGCTGTAACAAAATACCTGAGATTGGATAATTTATTAAAAAACAGACATTTATTTCTCTCAGTTCTAAAGGCTGGGGTGTCCAAGATCAAGGCATCAGCCCATTCAGTGTCTAGCGAAGGCCCCGTCTCTGCTTCCAAGATGTCACAACGTTGCTGCATCTTTCAGAGCGGAGGAACATTGTGTCCCCACGTGGAGGAGACAGGAGTGAATGAATCCACTCCTTCAAGTCCTTTTATAAGGGCTCTAATTTCGTCCATAAGGACTTCTATCCTCATGAGATAATCACCTAAAGAATCCACCTTTTTACCCTTTTTTTTTTTTTTTTTTTTGAGACAGGGTCTCATTCTATTGCCCCCATTGGAGTGCAGTAGCCTGTAGCCTGATCATGGCTCACTGCAGCCTTGACCTCCCAGGCTCAACCAGTCCTCCTGTTTCAGCCTCCTGAGTAGCTTGGACTACAGGCCTGCACCACCATGCCCACCTAATTTTTGTATTTTTTGTAGAGACAAGGTTTTCCCATGTTGCCCTGGCTGGTCTTAAACTCCTGGGCTCAAACAATCTGCCAGTCTCCTCCTCCCAAAGTGCTGGGATTACAGCATGAGCCACCACCCCAGGCCACTGTCCACCTCTTAACACTATCATATTGGCAGTTAAATTTCAACGTATAAATTTTGGGGGACATTCAGACCATAGCAGTGTGTTGTTTAATTTCCAAAAAGAAAAAAGGTCAGTTTATCAGTTTTACTTCTATTATTGATTTTTAACTCTATTCTGTTGTGGTCAGAGAAGATATTTGATATGCTATCTATCTTTTAAAATTTACTGAGACTAAAATTGTGGCCTGACATATGGTCTATACTGGAGAATGTCCTGTGTGCACTTGAGAAAAAAGTGTATATTGCAGCTGCTGGATATAGAGTCCTATACATGTCTGCCAGATTTAGCTGATTTATTGTGTTGTTCAAGTCCTTGTTTTCTTATCCTCTATCTGATCATTCTATCCATTATTACCAGTAGGGTATTGAACTCTCCATTTGTCTTTTGTAGAACTGTCTGTTTCTCCCTTCAGTCTATCAGGTTTTGCGTCATATATTTTAATGGTCTGTTACTAGGTGCGTAAATGTTTACAATTGTTACATTATCTTGTTATTTTAAACCTTTTATTAATATATATGCCCTTCTTTGTCTTATGTAAACCTATTTGATTTTGAAGTCTGTTTTGTCTGATATTAGTACAGCCACTACTGTTCTCTTTTGGTCACTATTTGCATGGAATATCTTTTTTCTTTTTTTTTTATTCTTTTTCTTTTTCCTTTTTTTTTTTTTTTTTTTTTTTGAGATGGAGTTTTTTGCTCTCGTTGCCCAGGCTGGAGTGCAATGGTGTGATCTCGGCTCACTGCAACCTCCACCTCCTGGGTTGAAGCGATTCTCCTGCCTCAGCCTCCCCAGGAGCTGGGATTACAGGCACCTACCACCACGCCCAGCTAATTTTTTGTATTTTTAGTAGAGACAGGGTTTCATCATGTTGGCCAGGCTGGTCTTGAACTCCTGACCTCAGGTGATCCACCTGCCTCGGCTTCCCAAAGTGCTGGGATTACAGGCGTGAGCCACCACTCCCAGCCTCTTTTTTCTATTTCTTCACTTTCATCCTATTCGTGGTTTTTAATCTAAAATTTCTCTCTTGTAGACAGCATAGAATCGGGTTTCATGTTTTTGTCTATTCTGCCAATCTCCATCTTTTGACTGAAGAGCTTAATCTAATTATATTTGAAATAATTACTGATAAGGAAGAACTTACTTCTGTCATTTTGCTACCTTTTTTTATATGCATTATAGTTTTTCCCCTCATTTTCTGCATTACCATCTTCTGTTGTATTTGATTATTTTTGTAGTGAATAATTTTAATTCCTTTCTCATTTCCTTTTGTATATATTCTATAGCTACTTTTTGTGGTTCCCATAGGAATTGCATTTAGGATCTTAAAGTTTTAACACTCAAATTTGAATTTATACCAATTTAACTTCAGTAACATGTAAAAACTCTTTTTTTTTAAAGCTCCATCCCCCCTTTCAGTTACTGATGTCAAACAATTACATGTTTATGTATTATGGGTCCAAAAACATAGACTAAATTGTTTCTTATGCACTAGTCTCTTAAAACATGTAGAAAACAAAAAGTGAATGGTATTTTTGGGAAAAGCGTAATTTTTAAAAAGAAAGAAAACAAAAAGTGGAGTTACAAACCGAAGTGTAAAGCTAAATAACAGATAGAGAAGTAATCTAAAAGAAAATGAAATTAGCCAGGTGTGGTGGCACATGCCTGTAGTCCCGGCTACTCAGGAGGCTGTGGGGAAAGGACTGCTTGAGGCCAGGAGGTCAAGGCTGCAATGAGCCATGATTGTGCCACTGCACTTCAGCCTAGGCAACAGAGCCAAACAAAACAACAAAAAAAAAGATATTTATTTGAGACTAAGCATTGCAAAGTGAATATGGAAGGCATATTCAGGGAGGTAAAAGAAGACAGGAGTTTTTTAAGGAAAAATGAGGAGAATTACATAATTGTTTTGAAATCATTATCATTGGCTACAAAGATCAATAGCACAGGTGGCCCCAGTCCAAGATTGTCAGGCAGTTGCTGGACAGATGTCTTCACAGTATTTTTTTATGTAAGGCTGTGGTCTTTGTGCAAGTTTGTAGTTTTTGCAGAGTCTTTCGTGTGATAGTTTTTATCATTAGGCATACTTGTATGAGAACCCTCTCTTTGTGGCCTTCCCCAGCTCCATTTGTCAAGGTTTTAACACAGTGACTTCATTTTGTTTCTGACAACTTTTACATTTCCCCTTTTTGATCAAGATTGTTCTTTGAAAGCATCACTAACCAATCGTACTGTAGTTAGATTCTGATTGTCCCTCAGTGCTGAGATGTACCTGTCCTGAGCTGTTAGTCTGGTCTAGCCCTGTGTTCAAGGGAAATGAATCGCGACTAGCAAAACCCTTTTTTGCCACATTTGAGCAACAAGAGAGGTTTAGAGGGAGTGGCTCTCAGGCTAAGTCTACCTGGAGTCCATTGTTAAGCCCAATTTTGTCTGTTCCATAGGCCTTTGCTATCATCCAAAGTTCTGGGCCAGAATTATTTTCTTAGGAGTTGCACTTTTGCATAAATTTGTTAAGCCATGGGCACAAAGTTTTTTAAAAATAAAATACAAAGCAAGGTTAGGCCAGGTGCAGTGGCTTATGCCTGTAATCCCAGCACTTTGGGAGGCCTAGGTGGGTGGATCTTGAGGTCAGGAGTTCAAGACCAGCCTGGCCAAGATGGTGAAACCCCGTCTCTACTAAAAATACAAAAATTAGCTGGGTATGGTGGTGGGTACCTGTAATCCCAGCTACTCGGGAGGCTGAGGCAGAGAATTGCTTGAACTCATGAGGCGGAGGTTGCAGTGAGCCAAGATCGCGCCACTGCACTCCAGCCTGGGTGACAGAGCAAGACTTCATCTCCAAAAAAAAAAAAAAAGCAAGGTTAATAGTAATATGATAACCCCAGTTTACATAATGATTTTGAGCCATGAACCTAGGATTAAATGCAATCAACTGAATAAATCAAATCATTATAGGGAACTAGGTGAGGTCTGTTATAACCATGTGGACTGTTTTTTTATTTTGTGTATTTGGGTCTCAACTTCTCCAGAAAAATTGTTCAGGTACAGCACATAGAATTAGCAATAACACAGGCATTTTCTTATTTAACCAAAAACTAATATGGAGCAATTTTATCATCTGGTATCCCATGACTGGGTTGAATTAAAGCCAAGAATGCTATCTAAAAAAAGAAAAAAGACCAATAGTACAATATGAACAAAAACCTGTGTTGGGGATGTTGCCAAAGTTACCCACTAGGTGCACTAAAGGATTTCTTAGATCAGGTTCTGTCGAGTTACCCACAGTAGCTACAATCGTGAAATTTCAATTATGTCATTATCATGCCAAGTAAAAGAGGTAGGCATAAACAAGGAAAAATTAAAAGAAGCAAGATTCTCACGGTGATGGGGAGTCTTGTTCTATTATCTTGGGAAAAGCTGCCCACATCATGAAGCCAATCAACTTCTTGTTCTGGTTTGCAGTTTTAATGTCTCTGATTATGGCATCAGGTGGTCAGTGAACTTTCTGTATGGCCCATACATCAACTATGAGACTTGTCTTATAAAATCCATTTATGCTGGATATTGTGGTTCACAGCTGTAATCCCAACACTTTGGGAGGCTGAGGTTGGAGTATGGCTTGAAGTCAGAAGTTTGAGACCAGCCTGGGCAACAAAGAGACACATCATCTATAAAAAAATTAAAAATTACCTGGTCATGGTGATGTGTGCCTGTAGTTTCCAGGTACTTAGGAAGTGGAGGCAAGAGAATCACTTGAACCCAGGAGTTCAAGGCTTCAGTAAGCTGATTGGGCCACTGTACTCCAGCCTGAGTGACAGAGCAAGACTCTGACTCAAAAAAAAAAAAATCAGCTAGTTTCAACTTACAGGGCTTCAGGAACACAGCAATTCTTGGTACTTACATGGAAGAAAGCTGGATTGGGGGAACCTAGAAAAATTTAGGATGCAGTTCATTCTACAGGCAAATAATAAAAACTCAAAAACAATGCACAGGGCTATATTCTAGCAACAGGTGTATTACAGCTGTTCTTTGGAAACATAACTTTTCTCTTCACAGTCTTCCCAATTTCTACCAAAGATCATCAGAGAAAGACAAAATGTTTTGCAGAATTAGTTCAATTTTATCAAATTTCGCCTAATCATTTGCATAAGCATATCAAGAATAACAACTGGCTACATTGTAATTTCAGATTTAAAAACCTCTTGAGGCTGGTCACAGTGGCTCACACCTGTAATTCCAGCACTTTGGGAGACCAAGGTGGGAGGATTGCTTGAGGCCAGGAGTTCGAGACCAGCCTGGCTAAAATGGTGAAACCCCATCTCTACTAAAAATACAAAAATTAAGGCTGGGCGCAGTGGCTCATGCCTGTAATCTCAGCACTTTGGGAGGCCGAAGTGGGTGGATCACCTGAGGTTGGGAGTTCGAGACCAGCCAGACCAACATGGAGAAACCCCATCTCTACTAAAAATACAAAATTAGCTGGGCATGGTGGAGCATGCCTGTAATCCCAGCCACTTGGAAGGCTGAGGCAGGAGAATCACTTGAACATGGGAGGCGGAGGTTGCAGTGAGCCGAGATGGCACCACTGCACTCCAGCCTGGACAACAAGAGCAAAACTCCGTCAAAAAAAAATACAAAAATTAGTCCGACATGATGGCACCAGCCTGACTCCCAGCTATTCATAAGGCTGAGGCATGAGAATCACTGGATTCCCCCTCCCAGGGGGCAGAGGTTACAGTGAGCCACGATCGTGCCACGCACTCCAGCCTGGGTGACAGAGGGAGACCTTGTCTCAAAAATAACAACAACAAACCCTTGAGGCTAGGTAGCCAAATCAAGACAGACTTTAGACTTTGTTTACAGTATCTATAAACCCCTTAAATATGACATTCCAAAGTCATGGCAATGTAACCAATATTTCCAATTGTATCTTGCTATAGAGGTGATTCTTATTGAACTTATGGAAATAATTACATTTCCATTAAAAATAAGTATACTCATGAAGTCATTTCCAAATTTTGGAGGTACTTAGTAGGAAGAAAAAAATAAATGCTTTCACTTTTGTTCATAAATGTATGCTTTATCAAATTGCTGAAAACTTTAGATAGCATAAGCGAAAATATTTTCTTAAATTTGGGAAACAAAACATATAAGTAAAGAGCCATCAGTATTTTAAATAAAAGTCATGAAAACATTATTAGTTATTCAATCTCATGTAATTAATTTTTTGTTTTGCTAAATCTTATTAGCAATTTCATGAATTCATCAGTTTCTTCATTAGAAGTTATGGACATCTTTTTTCCCAAGCACTTCGTAGTTGATAAAAGAGAAATATAAAATTTTTTTTAAAAAAGAAAGTTCTGGAAATGTTTATGTGGTCTGCTGATTTTATTTTCTTTTTCCATGTTGCCCCATTCATAATACAGACCAGGCTTGGACTGAGGTGTATATAGGATAGGTTTACTCTGCCTCCTCTCTCTATTCAGTCAGTGAAAGAGCACAGTCTGTGGTAAGCACCAAAAGGCCTCCATTGATCTTTTTTCCTTTTTGCTATTTTTATTTTGCACTATAAACAACAACAACAATGGTCAGTAACATAGAGCTTTTCTTCACATTTGCATGGATTGCAAAATCTGCAAATTCCAGAAGTCAGTGGCTTGAAGACAAAACAACTGTCACAAGAGACACAACACATAGAAGGACAGGAAGCTGAAGAAGACAGTTTTCAATATTACTGACCCAGGATACACAGCAAGTACCCTTTTCCTCCTGGCACCTGGTGCCGCCACCTTGATGGTATGATTTTTTAGTCTATGATCTGAAAAAATATTTTCTCAAATGAAGAGCTGCTGAGAAGAGGTGCAATGAGATAAGTTCAAGTATGAGTAACAGTCATACTTATTCAAGTGTAGATTTGTATCATACTTATAAAAGTCCAAGGTCAGTGAGGAAGCCACAGCAAAAGAGAAACCCAGAAAGGCCAACATCTTGCTACTTCAACCAACTGCCTCCATTGGACCCAAGAGGGTATGTAAAAAACATTTCAGGGTTCAAATTGGCATATATATCATGTCTCCACAAACCCTGTAGGGTTACTTTCCTGACTAGATGGTGATCAGCTTATTTCCTGAAGCAACGGAGACAGACATTGAGACTGCCAAAGTTTGAAAAATAAGGTGGAAATTGTGCTTCCTTCAAAATGAATTGGCTTCATAAGTGCCATTTCTGTTGGTCCAGCAACTTCTTTCTCCCATGTTGCTGCAGGTATTTATTGCCTTATGCTTGAAATGAAAAGGCGAACTTTGAGGTGCAAGGACTGGGCAGTCCCTTGAGGGCAGGGGGTCTGGAAGTACAGTAGTCAGCACGTGCTGTGCTCCTGTAATTGCTTGGCCTTCCTTCAATCCTGAGAACCTACCCTGAGGTCTGTGTGAAGTTCATTTGCAAGCCTGGTGACCTCTCACTATGTCACTGGGGCAACATGACAAAGTGAGGTCTTCAGTATTGCACAGATGTGAAATGTCCATTCTTAAAAACAAAAGTCATAGCTGCTCTTGGGGCTGGGCTTGTTCCTCTATCCCAGTTTTAGCAGAATGTGGCTGTGGCCACAGGGCTCCTGCTGAGCTCTGAGACTGTCCAGTGGGTGGGCACTGGAGCCAGCACTGAGGCAGGGAATGTGCAGTAGACACCCTTCAAGTCAGGGCTAAATGTCTGCAAATGGCTTATCAATGAAGAGCCTGCTGCCTCCCCCTGGTAGGAGGGAAGCTAGGGATTGGGTGTGGAAGGGAGGATTTCAAATTCCTACCGCAGGAGCTGGCCCATGAAGCCAAAGCTGGGTGAGATCATGCTCCTCTTCCACTTGACATAATTGAAGGCCTCCTTCAGGCAGAAGTGCTTGGTCTTTATGAGGGAAGCCATGCAGATGGTGGGTGAACAGGAGAACCCAGCTTCACAGTGGACCAGGACCTTGCCTTTCTTTTCTCTGACACAGTCAATGAAGTCTATTGCTTCTTGAAAGTGAGAGCTAATGTCAGCCATGTGGCCTTCTTCCACAAGGATCCATTCGTATGTAGGTGGGTCTTGCAGGCCTCACAGCCAGGTCCACAAGGGGACATTCAGCTGGGCTGTGATGTATAGCTTGATGAGGAACTTGCACTTGGATGCATGGTAGGCACCTCCAAGGTAGAGGGAGGAAAGGATTTCAACTGGACCACCCTGATCATAAGCTGGCCTGTAGTTGATGTTTAGCACTACTAGCTTTCCACACTGGCTGATGAGAGCTCTCTCACTTTGAAACGAGTGAAACGAGTTTTACATCCATGCAACCCTGGAAGAAGGTCTCATATCCCCCTTTGAGGAAGTAGACCCGCCAGCAGGAGGGCAGGCAGGCGAGCAGTGAGGTGAGGACAACCCGCCGGGCACTCTCCTCGCACAGCTTCTGCCCGTGGCAGCTCCCCTAGTTCAGCACCATCACGGCCACCAGGATGCTGCCCTCCTGCAGCAGCAGCGTGCTCCGAGGCATCTGGCAGCAAGTAGCACGCTGACCCCACAGCCGCCCCGGGCTGGCGCACACCAGTGAATAGAGGTTGATGTTGAGTGAGCCAGGCACGCTCAAGGCGGTAAAGGCCAGGTAGGGCCGGCAGCCAAGCACCATCCAGCCCGCCGCTGCCTCCTTGCGGAGCATCTTGCACACTGGCGCCAGCGACCCAGCGACCCAGCGCCACGTACTCCACAGGTGCCCAAGGCCAGGGTCCCCATGGGCGACCCATGGGGCTGCAGCCGCTGATGGAACTAGGCCCTAACCGCAGTGCAGCTCTGCTTTCCATTGATCTTAAAGTTATTAGAAATCTGTATTCAAGAGTACCTGTTAGAGTTCTTTCTATGAATCTGATTGCAGATGCCTTTAGAGAAAAGTCAAAACAATAACTGTGGATAACAAAAACTTAGAATAGAATAATTATGGTTAAAAATCTGATGAAAGTTTATTATAACCAGAAATTGACAAGAAACTGGTTATTTTGTGTCAAACAACATAAGCAGAATTACAACTGATGACGTCTTAGATTTCTAGGAGTTTTACACAATTTTGGAACATTCATATCAATAACACACCCATAAAATATAACTGAAAGAAGATCTAGTGTAACTTATTTGACAATGTTTTTCATACAGTTTATCATCTTCAAATGAGCCTGATTTAGTTTAATATGTCTCTTTTATAAACATTTGAAAAGTTTCAGGGCCCTCTGGAACATCAAGTTAATTCAAGATAAAAAAAGAAAAGACAATTTAGGATGTGATCCCGGGAAAGCTTGCCAAAATATCAAAAGGTTAAAAACACTTTATCAAAACAGCATCAAATGTCACTGTGAATTAATAGTCATTTATTTAACCAGGATGATAATCAAAATACTTCAAAATGAAATACAGACAGTTACATGAATTTTTTTAAAAACCCTTAACCCTTTTAAGCGCTGTTTTGTCAAGTAATCAAAAACCTAATAAAAACAAGCAACAGGAACCACAGATAATTATCCTGATAAAATGTAAAATCTTTGTTTCTTAGACCAGTTATCAAAAAGGTAAAGAAATATCTCCAGCAATATGATTGCTTCAGCCTCCAGAAAGCACATTTAGAGAACCTGGAAGTCAAACCTGACGAAAAGGTACTTGAATTCAATAAGACAAAGGAAGAGTGTGTGCCCAAAATTAGTAATGTTTGCCATATTATAGAGGAATGTAAACAGGTACTCTAGTACCTTGAACAGGGTAATACATGGCTTTTAGAAAAAGTAAAAGCTGGTGGGCACAGTGGCTCACACCTGTAAACCTAGTATTTTAAGAGGCCGAGGCAGGCAGATCACCCGAGGTCTGGAGTTTGAGACAGGACTGGCCAACGTGCAGAAACCATGTCACTGCTAAAAATACAAAAACTAGCCAGGCGAGGTTGGTGCGCGCCTTTAGTACAAGGTACTCGGGAGGCTGAGGCGAGAGAATGGCTTTAACCCAGAAGAGGAGGTTGCGGTGAGCCGAGATCGAACACTGCACTCCAGCCTGGCCAACAGAGCGAGAATCCGTCAGAAAGAAAGAAAGAAAGAAAGAAAGAGAGAGAGGAAGAGAAAGAAAGAGAGAAAAAACAAATTTCAGACTATATGAAAAGCAATAATTCATTAAATAGGAAGAAACAGATCTCTAGTAGAAGTAATAGATTATAATGTGACTCTGTCTCAAAAATAAAAATTTTAAAAAAAAGAAAAAGTAAAAGCATGTGAAATTGCCGGCTCACATGAAACAATTCAGGTATGTCAAGAAAAACCGAGTTCAGAATCAAATTATTCTGAAAGAAAATATTCAACTGTAAAGCTGCAGTTCAGAACATGGTTGAAATTTTAAAGAAACGGCTCTGGGTGGGTGAAGCAAGAGAGGGTCTTGCAAGAGGGGCAGCAAGGGATCCAAAACAATCCCCCCGCCGCAAGGCAAAAGACCAGAGAAGATCCCAGGACTGTGGGCCCTGGGCGTTGACACCTCAGAGCACACCAAGTCCGGAGCGGCCCAAAGTCATGGAAGCTCTGGAGCTCCGGAGCCGGGGAAGGCCTGGAGAGTCGGCGGAATGGAGGCTGCCCGGAGATCCCAGAGCTTGGGCAGGGGAAAAGGCCTCTGGCACTCCCGCGAGGAAACAGGGTGGCGCCGCGGAGGTCCAGCGAGTGGCCTAGGCGCAAGCAATCACGGAAGGCTCTAAGAGGCCAACAGAAGGCGCAAGGCGGCGGGCAACGGTGCTTGGGCGTAGACACGGAGAGCAACCCAGCCAGACCTCCGGCGAGCGGCTCCCGGGTCCCGATAAGATCCCCATGGCACTGGATTAGAGGTGGCGCATGGAGTCGGACGGGCGTGGCTGAGCCGCGCCTTTGGGGCAGACAGGCTGCACTACCGGCGTCTAAGGCCATACCACCCCGAAGGCGTCCGGTCTCCTCTGATCTCGTGAAGATAAGCAGGGTCTGGGCCAGACCGCTACTTAGATGAAACGCCACTTGAGAAAACCAGGAGACGCAGGCTTGTTTAGACTTCAAGTTCCTCCCTCTTTACCGTTTGGTCGCCGTACTTCTCAACCGCACCGTAAATCTGCTCCCTCTTTTCACACGCCCAAGCCCACACAACAGCCCGGGACCGCTTAGTGTGGGCTAACCTGCAGCACAGCCAGGCAACAACATCACAACTATTCAGGATGGGCGGCGCAACACGATGAAACCGGATCCAGCAGAAACACCACGCCTCAGATCACTAAGGTGCAGGCCAGGATTCCCTGCCGTTCGCGGTGCCTTCCCGCTCCCGGATCCACCAGGCAATTCAATTCACTCATCCGGCGCAGTCGCAACCTTATAAACCGGGGGAAGGGGCGGGCAGGGGCAGCGGGTACCACAGACGCCAGCCAAGATCTCCGCTCCAGAACGCATGGACTGCTTTACCCGGGAGGAAGGACATTGCTTCGCCAACCACCAGGAAAACAGTCCCTGTGCACCCGGATTCCTATTGCCCCGCACTTCGTGTCAACTCCAGTACCGAGGACACGCCAGAGACCCAGGCCTCCGGACGCGCCCGGTACCACGGCTCCCGCCAAAAGGGCGGGCGCACTCTGCAAATCTCGGGGCCCACTGCACCGCACCAAGAGCACAGTGAGGTACCAAGAGCACAGTGAGGTGCCAAGAAAGAATGGAGCCTACGAAACCCACCTCCAAAGCAAGCAATTCATCCAAGAAAAAACCCGTCTCAGCGCTCCGTTGGTCCTCTCGCACGGGCCGCCTGGCCGCCCTGCTCAGGCACAGCTCAAACCCCTCCACCCTATTCCGGACTGCTCAAAAGGGGGCTGCCTACCGAAGTAGGGTGCTTCCTCTCTAAGGCTCAAACGTTCTCGCTCTCTAGCTCCCTCCTCCTCACTCTTCTGGGTTTCCCCCTGGACCTCGCGTTATTTCTCTAGCCTTCCCTCTGTACCTCTGTACTTCTCCCTTTCTCTGTCCCTCTTAGCCTCTCTCTCTTTACCTCTCCACCTCTCCGGTCTCTCTCGATCGCTGTCTCTCTCCCTCCCTCGGTTTCTATCTCTCCATCCATCTTCTCCTTGCTCTCCTTCAAGCCGTGTGTGTCTGTGTTTCACCGTGTGTGTGTGTGCGTGCGTCTGCGCACCCGTGCTCGCGTGCGGGTTCCGGAACGAGAACGAACGGGTGTGTCTGTGTGTGGGGGAGTGGATTTGCTCCTGGTGGCGGTGGGGTGTGTCTGGGTTTCTCTCAGGCCCTCTCACCCGAGATCAGGCCGCCGCCTCTAGTGCCAGCCCGGGGCAAAACAGGGCCACCCCCCGACCCGCTACACCCCACGCCCTCTTGCCCCCCCGGCCGGGTCTTGGTCGGGACAAGCGACCGTGGTGGGGGCGTTGTGAGAGAAAGGCCCCGCGCGGCTGGGCCGGCTGTTCGCCTTCGGCCAGCCCTGACGGCTCTGGGTGGGTGGGGCAAGAGGGGGCCTCGCAGGAGCCCCTGTGCGGCGAGGGATCCAAAACGCTGCCTCCGCGACAGGGCGGAGGACCGGAGGGCGTCCCAGGATCGTGGGCCCTGGGCCCTGACGCCTCGGAGCACTCCCTGCTCCGAGCGGGCCCGATGTGGTGGAAGCTCGGGAGCGCGGGAGCCGGGGGAAGGCCGCGGGCCAGCGGCTCGGGGGTCCCCGATCCGAGCCCCGCGGCCCCGGGCTGGCGGTGTCGGCTGCAATCCGGCGGGCACGGCCGGGCCGGGCTGGGCTCTTGGGGCAGCCAGGCGCCTCCTTCAGCGTCTACGGCCATACCACCCTGAACGCGCCCGATCTCGTCTGATCTCGGAAGCTAAGCAGGGTCGGGCCTGGTTAGTACTTGGATGGGAGACCGCCTGGGAATACCGGGTGCTGTAGGCTTTTTCTTTGGCTTTTTGCTGTTTCTTTCCTTTTCTTCCAGACGGAGTCTCGCCCTGTCGCCCAGGCTGGAGTGCAGTGGCGCCATCTCGGCTCACTGCAAGCTCCGCCTCCCGGGTTCACGCCATTCCCCGGCCTCAGCCTCCCGAGTAGCTGGGCCTACAGGCGCCCGCCACCACGCCCGGCTACTTTGTTCTATTTTTCCTAGAGACGGGCTTTCACCCTGTTAGCCGGGATGGTCTGGAGCTCCTGACCTCGTGATCCACCCGCCTCGGCCTCCCAGAGTGCTGGGATTACAGGCGCGAGCCACCGCGCCCGCCCGGCCTGCTGTAGGCTTTTGTGGCTTCCCCGCTGCCTCCCTTCCCCCCACAGTCGCCATGCTTCCCAACCTCCCCTGACTCTGCTCCCCCTTTACCGCCCACCTACACCCCCGCCGCAGCCGCAGCCGGGGTCCTCCTGCTGGGGGTCCGCCCCTACTGCACGCCGGCCCGGCAGCAGCATCCCACCGCTTCCGCCTCGCCGCCGCCCCGCCAGGAGCCCGGCTCCAGCCTGGGAGGGCAGGGGGCCGGACCCCAAAGGCGCAGCCGCTGGGTTCCCTGCCGTTCGCGGTGCCTTCCCGCTCCCGGAACGCCCAGGCGATTCAATTCACCCATCGGGCGCCGTCGTCGCACCCTTCCAAACCGGGGGAAGGGGCGGGCAGGGGCAGCGGGTGCCACAGACGCCAGCCAAGACGTCGGCTCCGGAACGCATGGGCTGCTTTACCCGGGGGAAGGACATTGCTTCGCCAGCCACCGGGAAAACAGGCCCTGTGCACCCGGGATTCCCAATGCCCCCCGCTTCGTGTCGACGACTCCAGTCCCGAGGACTCGCCAGAGACCCAGGCCTCCGGGCCCGCCCGGTGCCACGGCTCCCGCCAAACGGGCGGGCGCGCTCTGCAAATCTCGGGGCCCGCCGCAAGGCACCCAGAGCACAGGGAGGTGCCAAGAAAGGCAGGAGCCTACGAAACCCACCTCCAAAGCAAGCAATTCATCCAAGAAAACGCCCGCCTCAGCGCTCCGTTGGTCCTCTCGCACGGACCGCCTGGCCCCCGTGTTCTGGGCGCAGCCCAAGCCCCCTCCACCCTATCCCGGCCTGCTCAAGAGGGCGCTGCCTAACGGAGCCGGGCGCTTCCTCTCTAAGGCTCTATCGCTCTCGCTCTCTAGCTCCCTCCGCCTCTCTCTTCTGGGTTTCCCCCTGGACCTCGCGCTACTTTTGTCGTTTTCCCTCTGTCTCTCTGTCTCTCTCTCTCTCTTTCTCTGTGCCTCTCTCTTTCTCAGCCTCTCTGTCTGTCTCCTTCCCTCTCGCCCTCCCCTGTCTCTCTCGATCGCTGTCTCTCTCCCTCCCTCGGTTTCTATCTCTCCATCCATCTCGTCCTTGCTCTCCTTCAAGCCGCGTGTGTGTGTGCGTGCGTGTGCGCGTGCGTGTGTGCGTGTGTGTCTGTGTGTGTGTGTGTGTCCGCGCGCGCGGGTGCGAGCGCGCCCGGGTGTGTCTGTGTGTGGGGGAGTGGATTTGCTCCTGGTGGCGGTGGGGTGTGTCTGGGTTTCTCTCAGGCCCTCTCACCCGAGATCAGGCCGCCGCCTCTAGTGCCAGCCCGGGGCAAAACAGGGCCACCCCCCGACCCGCTACACCCCACGCCCTCTTGCCCCCCCGGCCGGGTCTTGGTCGGGACAAGCGACCGTGGTGGGGGCGTTGTGAGAGAAAGGCCCCGCGCGGCTGGGCCGGCTGTTCGCCTTCGGCCAGCCCTGACGGCTCTGGGTGGGTGGGGCAAGAGGGGGCCTCGCAGGAGCCCCTGTGCGGCGAGGGATCCAAAACGCTGCCTCCGCGACAGGGCGGAGGACCGGAGGGCGTCCCAGGATCGTGGGCCCTGGGCCCTGACGCCTCGGAGCACTCCCTGCTCCGAGCGGGCCCGATGTGGTGGAAGCTCGGGAGCGCGGGAGCCGGGGGAAGGCCGCGGGCCAGCGGCTCGGGGGTCCCCGATCCGAGCCCCGCGGCCCCGGGCTGGCGGTGTCGGCTGCAATCCGGCGGGCACGGCCGGGCCGGGCCGGGCTCTTGGGGCAGCCAGGCGCCTCCTTCAGCGTCTACGGCCATACCACCCTGAACGCGCCCGATCTCGTCTGATCTCGGAAGCTAAGCAGGGTCGGGCCTGGTTAGTACTTGGATGGGAGACCGCCTGGGAATACCGGGTGCTGTAGGCTTTTTCTTTGGCTTTTTGCTGTTTCTTTCCTTTTCTTCCAGACGGAGTCTCGCCCTGTCGCCCAGGCTGGAGTGCAGTGGCGCCATCTCGGCTCACTGCAAGCTCCGCCTCCCAGGTTCACGCCATTCCCCGGCCTCAGCCTCCCGAGTAGCTGGGCCTACAGGCGCCCGCCACCACGCCCGGCTACTTTGTTCTATTTTTCCTAGAGACGGGCTTTCACCCTGTTAGCCGGGATGGTCTGGAGCTCCTGACCTCGTGATCCACCCGCCTCGGCCTCCCAGAGTGCTGGGATTACAGGCGCGAGCCACCGCGCCCGCCCGGCCTGCTGTAGGCTTTTGTGGCTTCCCCGCTGCCTCCCTTCCCCCCACAGTCGCCATGCTACCCAACCTCCCCTGACTCTGCTCCCCCTTTACCGCCCACCTACACCCCCGCCGCAGCCGCAGCCGGGGTCCTCCTGCTGGGGGTCCGCCCCTACTGCACGCCGGCCGGGCAGCAGCATCCCACCGCTTCCGCCTCGCCGCCGCCCCGCCAGGAGCCCGGCTCCAGCCTGGGAGGGCAGGGGGCCGGACCCCAAAGGCGCAGCCGCTGGGTTCCCTGCCGTTCGCGGTGCCTTCCCGCTCCCGGAACGCCCAGGCGATTCAATTCACCCATCGGGCGCCGTCGTCGCACCCTTCCAAACCGGGGGAAGGGGCGGGCAGGGGCAGCGGGTGCCACAGACGCCAGCCAAGACGTCGGCTCCGGAACGCATGGGCTGCTTTACCCGGGGGAAGGACATTGCTTCGCCAGCCACCGGGAAAACAGGCCCTGTGCACCCGGGATTCCCAATGCCCCCCGCTTCGTGTCGACGACTCCAGTCCCGAGGACTCGCCAGAGACCCAGGCCTCCGGGCCCGCCCGGTGCCACGGCTCCCGCCAAACGGGCGGGCGCGCTCTGCAAATCTCGGGGCCCGCCGCAAGGCACCCAGAGCACAGGGAGGTGCCAAGAAAGGCAGGAGCCTACGAAACCCACCTCCAAAGCAAGCAATTCATCCAAGAAAACGCCCGCCTCAGCGCTCCGTTGGTCCTCTCGCACGGACCGCCTGGACCCCGTGTTCTGGGCGCAGCCCAAGCCCCCTCCACCCTATCCCGGCCTGCTCAAGAGGGCGCTGCCTAACGGAGCCGGGCGCTTCCTCTCTAAGGCTCTATCGCTCTCGCTCTCTAGCTCCCTCCGCCTCTCTCTTCTGGGTTTCCCCCTGGACCTCGCGCTACTTTTGTCGTTTTCCCTCTGTCTCTCTGTCTCTCTCTCTCTCTTTCTCTGTGCCTCTCTCTTTCTCAGCCTCTCTGTCTGTCTCCTTCCCTCTCGCCCTCCCCTGTCTCTCTCGATCGCTGTCTCTCTCCCTCCCTCGGTTTCTATCTCTCCATCCATCTCGTCCTTGCTCTCCTTCAAGCCGCGTGTGTGTGTGCGTGCGTGTGCGCGTGCGTGTGTGCGTGTGTGTCTGTGTGTCTGTGTGTGTGTGTGTGAGTCCGCGCGCGCGCGTGCGAGCGCGCCCGGGTGTGTCTGTGTGTGGGGGAGTGGATTTGCTCCTGGTGGCGGTGGGGTGTGTCTGGGCTTCTCTCAGGCCCTCTCACCCGAGATCAGGCCGCCGCCTCTAGTGCCAGCCCGGGGCAAAACAGGGCCACCCCCCGACCCGCTACACCCCACGCCCTCTTGCCCCCCCGGCCGGGTCTTGGTCGGGACAAGCGACCGTGGTGGGGGCGTTGTGAGAGAAAGGCCCCGCGCGGCTGGGCCGGCTGTTCGCCTTCGGCCAGCCCTGACGGCTCTGGGTGGGTGGGGCAAGAGGGGGCCTCGCAGGAGCCCCTGTGCGGCGAGGGATCCAAAACGCTGCCTCCGCGACAGGGCGGAGGACCGGAGGGCGTCCCAGGATCGTGGGCCCTGGGCCCTGACGCCTCGGAGCACTCCCTGCTCCGAGCGGGCCCGATGTGGTGGAAGCTCGGGAGCGCGGGAGCCGGGGGAAGGCCGCGGGCCAGCGGCTCGGGGGTCCCCGATCCGAGCCCCGCGGCCCCGGGCTGGCGGTGTCGGCTGCAATCCGGCGGGCACGGCCGGGCCGGGCCGGGCTCTTGGGGCAGCCAGGCGCCTCCTTCAGCGTCTACGGCCATACCACCCTGAACGCGCCCGATCTCGTCTGATCTCGGAAGCTAAGCAGGGTCGGGCCTGGTTAGTACTTGGATGGGAGACCGCCTGGGAATACCGGGTGCTGTAGGCTTTTTCTTTGGCTTTTTGCTGTTTCTTTCCTTTTCTTCCAGACGGAGTCTCGCCCTGTCGCCCAGGCTGGAGTGCAGTGGCGCCATCTCGGCTCACTGCAAGCTCCGCCTCCCAGGTTCACGCCATTCCCCGGCCTCAGCCTCCCGAGTAGCTGGGCCTACAGGCGCCCGCCACCACGCCCGGCTACTTTGTTCTATTTTTCCTAGAGACGGGCTTTCACCCTGTTAGCCGGGATGGTCTGGAGCTCCTGACCTCGTGATCCACCCGCCTCGGCCTCCCAGAGTGCTGGGATTACAGGCGCGAGCCACCGCGCCCGCCCGGCCTGCTGTAGGCTTTTGTGGCTTCCCCGCTGCCTCCCTTCCCCCCACAGTCGCCATGCTACCCAACCTCCCCTGACTCTGCTCCCCCTTTACCGCCCACCTACACCCCCGCCGCAGCCGCAGCCGGGGTCCTCCTGCTGGGGGTCCGCCCCTACTGCACGCCGGCCGGGCAGCAGCATCCCACCGCTTCCGCCTCGCCGCCGCCCCGCCAGGAGCCCGGCTCCAGCCTGGGAGGGCAGGGGGCCGGACCCCAAAGGCGCAGCCGCTGGGTTCCCTGCCGTTCGCGGTGCCTTCCCGCTCCCGGAACGCCCAGGCGATTCAATTCACCCATCGGGCGCCGTCGTCGCACCCTTCCAAACCGGGGGAAGGGGCGGGCAGGGGCAGCGGGTGCCACAGACGCCAGCCAAGACGTCGGCTCCGGAACGCATGGGCTGCTTTACCCGGGGGAAGGACATTGCTTCGCCAGCCACCGGGAAAACAGGCCCTGTGCACCCGGGATTCCCAATGCCCCCCGCTTCGTGTCGACGACTCCAGTCCCGAGGACTCGCCAGAGACCCAGGCCTCCGGGCCCGCCCGGTGCCACGGCTCCCGCCAAACGGGCGGGCGCGCTCTGCAAATCTCGGGGCCCGCCGCAAGGCACCCAGAGCACAGGGAGGTGCCAAGAAAGGCAGGAGCCTACGAAACCCACCTCCAAAGCAAGCAATTCATCCAAGAAAACGCCCGCCTCAGCGCTCCGTTGGTCCTCTCGCACGGACCGCCTGGCCCCCGTGTTCTGGGCGCAGCCCAAGCCCCCTCCACCCTATCCCGGCCTGCTCAAGAGGGCGCTGCCTAACGGAGCCGGGCGCTTCCTCTCTAAGGCTCTATCGCTCTCGCTCTCTAGCTCCCTCCGCCTCTCTCTTCTGGGTTTCCCCCTGGACCTCGCGCTACTTTTGTCGTTTTCCCTCTGTCTCTCTGTCTCTCTCTCTCTCTTTCTCTGTGCCTCTCTCTTTCTCAGCCTCTCTGTCTGTCTCCTTCCCTCTCGCCCTCCCCTGTCTCTCTCGATCGCTGTCTCTCTCCCTCCCTCGGTTTCTATCTCTCCATCCATCTCGTCCTTGCTCTCCTTCAAGCCGCGTGTGTGTGTGCGTGCGTGTGCGCGTGCGTGTGTGCGTGTGTGTCTGTGTGTGTGTGTGTGTCCGCGCGCGCGGGTGCGAGCGCGCCCGGGTGTGTCTGTGTGTGGGGGAGTGGATTTGCTCCTGGTGGCGGTGGGGTGTGTCTGGGTTTCTCTCAGGCCCTCTCACCCGAGATCAGGCCGCCGCCTCTAGTGCCAGCCCGGGGCAAAACAGGGCCACCCCCCGACCCGCTACACCCCACGCCCTCTTGCCCCCCCGGCCGGGTCTTGGTCGGGACAAGCGACCGTGGTGGGGGCGTTGTGAGAGAAAGGCCCCGCGCGGCTGGGCCGGCTGTTCGCCTTCGGCCAGCCCTGACGGCTCTGGGTGGGTGGGGCAAGAGGAGCCCTCGCAGGAGCCCCTGTGCGGCGAGGGATCCAAAACGCTGCCTCCGCGACAGGGCGGAGGACCGGAGGGCGTCCCAGGATCGTGGGCCCTGGGCCCTGACGCCTCGGAGCACTCCCTGCTCCGAGCGGGCCCGATGTGGTGGAAGCTCGGGAGCGCGGGAGCCGGGGGAAGGCCGCGGGCCAGCGGCTCGGGGGTCCCCGATCCGAGCCCCGCGGCCCCGGGCTGGCGGTGTCGGCTGCAATCCGGCGGGCACGGCCGGGCCGGGCTGGGCTCTTGGGGCAGCCAGGCGCCTCCTTCAGCGTCTACGGCCATACCACCCTGAACGCGCCCGATCTCGTCTGATCTCGGAAGCTAAGCAGGGTCGGGCCTGGTTAGTACTTGGATGGGAGACCGCCTGGGAATACCGGGTGCTGTAGGCTTTTTCTTTGGCTTTTTGCTGTTTCTTTCCTTTTCTTCCAGACGGAGTCTCGCCCTGTCGCCCAGGCTGGAGTGCAGTGGCGCCATCTCGGCTCACTGCAAGCTCCGCCTCCCGGGTTCACGCCATTCCCCGGCCTCAGCCTCCCGAGTAGCTGGGCCTACAGGCGCCCGCCACCACGCCCGGCTACTTTGTTCTATTTTTCCTAGAGACGGGCTTTCACCCTGTTAGCCGGGATGGTCTGGAGCTCCTGACCTCGTGATCCACCCGCCTCGGCCTCCCAGAGTGCTGGGATTACAGGCGCGAGCCACCGCGCCCGCCCGGCCTGCTGTAGGCTTTTGTGGCTTCCCGGCTGCCTCCCTTCCCCCCACAGTCGCCATGCTACCCAACCTCCCCTGACTCTGCTCCCCCTTTACCGCCCACCTACACCCCCGCCGCAGCCGCAGCCGGGGTCCTCCTGCTGGGGGTCCGCCCCTACTGCACGCCGGCCGGGCAGCAGCATCCCACCGCTTCCGCCTCGCCGCCGCCCCGCCAGGAGCCCGGCTCCAGCCTGGGAGGGCAGGGGGCCGGACCCCAAAGGCGCAGCCGCTGGGTTCCCTGCCGTTCGCGGTGCCTTCCCGCTCCCGGAACGCCCAGGCGATTCAATTCACCCATCGGGCGCCGTCGTCGCACCCTTCCAAACCGGGGGAAGGGGCGGGCAGGGGCAGCGGGTGCCACAGACGCCAGCCAAGACGTCGGCTCCGGAACGCATGGGCTGCTTTACCCGGGGGAAGGACATTGCTTCGCCAGCCACCGGGAAAACAGGCCCTGTGCACCCGGGATTCCCAATGCCCCCCGCTTCGTGTCGACGACTCCAGTCCCGAGGACTCGCCAGAGACCCAGGCCTCCGGGCCCGCCCGGTGCCACGGCTCCCGCCAAACGGGCGGGCGCGCTCTGCAAATCTCGGGGCCCGCCGCAAGGCACCCAGAGCACAGGGAGGTGCCAAGAAAGGCAGGAGCCTACGAAACCCACCTCCAAAGCAAGCAATTCATCCAAGAAAACGCCCGCCTCAGCGCTCCGTTGGTCCTCTCGCACGGACCGCCTGGCCCCCGTGTTCTGGGCGCAGCCCAAGCCCCCTCCACCCTATCCCGGCCTGCTCAAGAGGGCGCTGCCTAACGGAGCCGGGCGCTTCCTCTCTAAGGCTCTATCGCTCTCGCTCTCTAGCTCCCTCCGCCTCTCTCTTCTGGGTTTCCCCCTGGACCTCGCGCTACTTTTGTCGTTTTCCCTCTGTCTCTCTGTCTCTCTCTCTCTCTTTCTCTGTGCCTCTCTCTTTCTCAGCCTCTCTGTCTGTCTCCTTCCCTCTCGCCCTCCCCTGTCTCTCTCGATCGCTGTCTCTCTCCCTCCCTCGGTTTCTATCTCTCCATCCATCTCGTCCTTGCTCTCCTTCAAGCCGCGTGTGTGTGTGCGTGCGTGTGCGCGTGCGTGTGTGCGTGTGTGTCTGTGTGTCTGTGTGTGTGTGTGTGAGTCCGCGCGCGCGCGTGCGAGCGCGCCCGGGTGTGTCTGTGTGTGGGGGAGTGGATTTGCTCCTGGTGGCGGTGGGGTGTGTCTGGGTTTCTCTCAGGCCCTCTCAACCGAGATCAGGCCGCCGCCTCTAGTGCCAGCCCGGGGCAAAACAGGGCCACCCCCCGACCCGCTACACCCCACGCCCTCTTGCCCCCCCGGCCGGGTCTTGGTCGGGACAAGCGACCGTGGTGGGGGCGTTGTGAGAGAAAGGCCCCGCGCGGCTGGGCCGGCTGTTCGCCTTCGGCCAGCCCTGACGGCTCTGGGTGGGTGGGGCAAGAGGGGGCCTCGCAGGAGCCCCTGTGCGGCGAGGGATCCAAAACGCTGCCTCCGCGACAGGGCGGAGGACCGGAGGGCGTCCCAGGATCGTGGGCCCTGGGCCCTGACGCCTCGGAGCACTCCCTGCTCCGAGCGGGCCCGATGTGGTGGAAGCTCGGGAGCGCGGGAGCCGGGGGAAGGCCGCGGGCCAGCGGCTCGGGGGTCCCCGATCCGAGCCCCGCGGCCCCGGGCTGGCGGTGTCGGCTGCAATCCGGCGGGCACGGCCGGGCCGGGCTGGGCTCTTGGGGCAGCCAGGCGCCTCCTTCAGCGTCTACGGCCATACCACCCTGAACGCGCCCGATCTCGTCTGATCTCGGAAGCTAAGCAGGGTCGGGCCTGGTTAGTACTTGGATGGGAGACCGCCTGGGAATACCGGGTGCTGTAGGCTTTTTCTTTGGCTTTTTGCTGTTTCTTTCCTTTTCTTCCAGACGGAGTCTCGCCCTGTCGCCCAGGCTGGAGTGCAGTGGCGCCATCTCGGCTCACTGCAAGCTCCGCCTCCCGGGTTCACGCCATTCCCCGGCCTCAGCCTCCCGAGTAGCTGGGCCTACAGGCGCCCGCCACCACGCCCGGCTACTTTGTTCTATTTTTCCTAGAGACGGGCTTTCACCCTGTTAGCCGGGATGGTCTGGAGCTCCTGACCTCGTGATCCACCCGCCTCGGCCTCCCAGAGTGCTGGGATTACAGGCGCGAGCCACCGCGCCCGCCCGGCCTGCTGTAGGCTTTTGTGGCTTCCCGGCTGCCTCCCTTCCCCCCACAGTCGCCATGCTACCCAACCTCCCCTGACTCTGCTCCCCCTTTACCGCCCACCTACACCCCCGCCGCAGCCGCAGCCGGGGTCCTCCTGCTGGGGGTCCGCCCCTACTGCACGCCGGCCGGGCAGCAGCATCCCACCGCTTCCGCCTCGCCGCCGCCCCGCCAGGAGCCCGGCTCCAGCCTGGGAGGGCAGGGGGCCGGACCCCAAAGGCGCAGCCGCTGGGTTCCCTGCCGTTCGCGGTGCCTTCCCGCTCCCGGAACGCCCAGGTGATTCAATTCACCCATCGGGCGCCGTCGTCGCACCCTTCCAAACCGGGGGAAGGGGCGGGCAGGGGCAGCGGGTGCCACAGACGCCAGCCAAGACGTCGGCTCCAGAACGCATGGGCTGCTTTACCCGGGGGAAGGACATTGCTTCGCCAGCCACCGGGAAAACAGGCCCTGTGCACCCGGGATTCCCAATGCCCCCCGCTTCGTGTCGACGACTCCAGTCCCGAGGACTCGCCAGAGACCCAGGCCTCCGGGCCCGCCCGGTGCCACGGCTCCCGCCAAACGGGCGGGCGCGCTCTGCAAATCTCGGGGCCCGCCGCAAGGCACCCAGAGCACAGGGAGGTGCCAAGAAAGGCAGGAGCCTACGAAACCCACCTCCAAAGCAAGCAATTCATCCAAGAAAACGCCCGCCTCAGCGCTCCGTTGGTCCTCTCGCACGGACCGCCTGGCCCCCGTGTTCTGGCGCAGCCCAAGCCCCCTCCACCCTATCCCGGCCTGCTCAAGAGGGCGCTGCCTAACGGAGCCGGGCACTTCCTCTCTAAGGCTCTATCGCTCTCGCTCTCTAGCTCCCTCCGCCTCTCTCTTCTGGGTTTCCCCCTGGACCTCGCGCTACTTCTGTCGTTTTCCCTCTGTCTCTCTGTCTCTCTCTCTCTCTTTCTCTGTGCCTCTCTCTTTCTCAGCCTCTCTGTCTGTCTCCTTCCCTCTCGCCCTCCCCTGTCTCTCTCGATCGCTGTCTCTCTCCCTCCCTCGGTTTCTATCTCTCCATCCATCTCGTCCTTGCTCTCCTTCAAGCCGCGTGTGTGTGCGTGCGTGTGCGCGTGCGTGTGTGCGTGTGTGTCTGTGTGTGTGTGTGTCCGCGCGCGCGCGTGCGAGCGCGCCCGGGTGTGTCTGTGTGTGGGGGAGTGGATTTGCTCCTGGTGGCGGTGGGGTGTGTCTGGGTTTCTCTCAGGCCCTCTCACCCGAGATCAGGCCGCCGCCTCTAGTGCCAGCCCGGGGCAAAACAGGGCCACCCCCCGACCCGCTACACCCCACGCCCTCTTGCCCCCCGGCCGGGTCTTGGTCGGGACAAGCGACCGTGGTGGGGGCGTTGTGAGAGAAAGGCCCGGCGCGGCTGGGCCGGCTGTTCGCCTTCGGCCAGCCCTGACGGCTCTGGGTGGGTGGGGCAAGAGGGGGCCTCGCAGGAGCCCCTGTGCGGCGAGGGATCCAAAACGCTGCCTCCGCGACAGGGCGGAGGACCGGAGGGCGTCCCAGGATCGTGGGCCCTGGGCCCTGACGCCTCGGAGCACTCCCTGCTCCGAGCGGGCCCGATGTGGTGGAAGCTCGGGAGCGCGGGAGCCGGGGGAAGGCCGCGGGCCAGCGGCTCGGGGGTCCCCGATCCGAGCCCCGCGGCCCCGGGCTGGCGGTGTCGGCTGCAATCCGGCGGGCACGGCCGGGCCGGGCTGGGCTCTTGGGGCAGCCAGGCGCCTCCTTCAGCGTCTACGGCCATACCACCCTGAACGCGCCCGATCTCGTCTGATCTCGGAAGCTAAGCAGGGTCGGGCCTGGTTAGTACTTGGATGGGAGACCGCCTGGGAATACCGGGTGCTGTAGGCTTTTTCTTTGGCTTTTTGCTGTTTCTTTCCTTTTCTTCCAGACGGAGTCTCGCCCTGTCGCCCAGGCTGGAGTGCAGTGGCGCCATCTCGGCTCACTGCAAGCTCCGCCTCCCGGGTTCACGCCATTCCCCGGCCTCAGCCTCCCGAGTAGCTGGGCCTACAGGCGCCCGCCACCACGCCCGGCTACTTTGTTCTATTTTTCCTAGAGACGGGCTTTCACCCTGTTAGCCGGGATGGTCTGGAGCTCCTGACCTCGTGATCCACCCGCCTCGGCCTCCCAGAGTGCTGGGATTACAGGCGCGAGCCACCGCGCCCGCCCGGCCTGCTGTAGGCTTTTGTGGCTTCCCCGCTGCCTCCCTTCCCCCCACAGTCGCCATGCTACCCAACCTCCCCTGACTCTGCTCCCCCTTTACCGCCCACCTACACCCCCGCCGCAGCCGCAGCCGGGGTCCTCCTGCTGGGGGTCCGCCCCTACTGCACGCCGGCCGGGCAGCAGCATCCCACCGCTTCCGCCTCGCCGCCGCCCCGCCAGGAGCCCGGCTCCAGCCTGGGAGGGCAGGGGGCCGGACCCCAAAGGCGCAGCCGCTGGGTTCCCTGCCGTTCGCGGTGCCTTCCCGCTCCCGGAACGCCCAGGCGATTCAATTCACCCATCGGGCGCCGTCGTCGCACCCTTCCAAACCGGGGGAAGGGGCGGGCAGGGGCAGCGGGTGCCACAGACGCCAGCCAAGACGTCGGCTCCGGAACGCATGGGCTGCTTTACCCGGGGGAAGGACATTGCTTCGCCAGCCACCGGGAAAACAGGCCCTGTGCACCCGGGATTCCCAATGCCCCCCGCTTCGTGTCGACGACTCCAGTCCCGAGGACTCGCCAGAGACCCAGGCCTCCGGGCCCGCCCGGTGCCACGGCTCCCGCCAAACGGGCGGGCGCGCTCTGCAAATCTCGGGGCCCGCCGCAAGGCACCCAGAGCACAGGGAGGTGCCAAGAAAGGCAGGAGCCTACGAAACCCACCTCCAAAGCAAGCAATTCATCCAAGAAAACGCCCGCCTCAGCGCTCCGTTGGTCCTCTCGCACGGACCGCCTGGCCCCCGTGTTCTGGCGCAGCCCAAGCCCCCTCCACCCTATCCCGGCCTGCTCAAGAGGGCGCTGCCTAACGGAGCCGGGCACTTCCTCTCTAAGGCTCTATCGCTCTCGCTCTCTAGCTCCCTCCGCCTCTCTCTTCTGGGTTTCCCCCTGGACCTCGCGCTACTTCTGTCGTTTTCCCTCTGTCTCTCTGTCTCTCTCTCTCTCTTTCTCTGTGCCTCTCTCTTTCTCAGCCTCTCTGTCTGTCTCCTTCCCTCTCGCCCTCCCCTGTCTCTCTCGATCGCTGTCTCTCTCCCTCCCTCGGTTTCTATCTCTCCATCCATCTCGTCCTTGCTCTCCTTCAAGCCGCGTGTGTGTGTGCGTGCGTGTGCGCGTGCGTGTGTGCGTGTGTGTCTGTGTGTCTGTGTGTGTGTGTGTGAGTCCGCGCGCGCGCGTGCGAGCGCGCCCGGGTGTGTCTGTGTGTGGGGGAGTGGATTTGCTCCTGGTGGCGGTGGGGTGTGTCTGGGTTTCTCTCAGGCCCTCTCACCCGAGATCAGGCCGCCGCCTCTAGTGCCAGCCCGGGGCAAAACAGGGCCACCCCCCGACCCGCTACACCCCACGCCCTCTTGCCCCCCCGGCCGGGTCTTGGTCGGGACAAGCGACCGTGGTGGGGGCGTTGTGAGAGAAAGGCCCCGCGCGGCTGGGCCGGCTGTTCGCCTTCGGCCAGCCCTGACGGCTCTGGGTGGGTGGGGCAAGAGGAGGCCTCGCAGGAGCCCCTGTGCGGCGAGGGATCCAAAACGCTGCCTCCGCGACAGGGCGGAGGACCGGAGGGCGTCCCAGGATCGTGGGCCCTGGGCCCTGACGCCTCGGAGCACTCCCTGCTCCGAGCGGGCCCGATGTGGTGGAAGCTCGGGAGCGCGGGAGCCGGGGGAAGGCCGCGGGCCAGCGGCTCGGGGGTCCCCGATCCGAGCCCCGCGGCCCCGGGCTGGCGGTGTCGGCTGCAATCCGGCGGGCACGGCCGGGCCGGGCTGGGCTCTTGGGGCAGCCAGGCGCCTCCTTCAGCGTCTACGGCCATACCACCCTGAACGCGCCCGATCTCGTCTGATCTCGGAAGCTAAGCAGGGTCGGGCCTGGTTAGTACTTGGATGGGAGACCGCCTGGGAATACCGGGTGCTGTAGGCTTTTTCTTTGGCTTTTTGCTGTTTCTTTCCTTTTCTTCCAGACGGAGTCTCGCCCTGTCGCCCAGGCTGGAGTGCAGTGGCGCCATCTCGGCTCACTGCAAGCTCCGCCTCCCGGGTTCACGCCATTCCCCGGCCTCAGCCTCCCGAGTAGCTGGGCCTACAGGCGCCCGCCACCACGCCCGGCTACTTTGTTCTATTTTTCCTAGAGACGGGCTTTCACCCTGTTAGCCGGGATGGTCTGGAGCTCCTGACCTCGTGATCCACCCGCCTCGGCCTCCCAGAGTGCTGGGATTACAGGCGCGAGCCACCGCGCCCGCCCGGCCTGCTGTAGGCTTTTGTGGCTTCCCCGCTGCCTCCCTTCCCCCCACAGTCGCCATGCTACCCAACCTCCCCTGACTCTGCTCCCCCTTTACCGCCCACCTACACCCCCGCCGCAGCCGCAGCCGGGGTCCTCCTGCTGGGGGTCCGCCCCTACTGCACGCCGGCCCGGCAGCAGCATCCCACCGCTTCCGCCTCGCCGCCGCCCCGCCAGGAGCCCGGCTCCAGCCTGGGAGGGCAGGGGGCCGGACCCCAAAGGCGCAGCCGCTGGGTTCCCTGCCGTTCGCGGTGCCTTCCCGCTCCCGGAACGCCCAGGCGATTCAATTCACCCATCGGGCGCCGTCGTCGCACCCTTCCAAACCGGGGGAAGGGGCGGGCAGGGGCAGCGGGTGCCACAGACGCCAGCCAAGACGTCGGCTCCGGAACGCATGGGCTGCTTTACCCGGGGGAAGGACATTGCTTCGCCAGCCACCGGGAAAACAGGCCCTGTGCACCCGGGATTCCCAATGCCCCCCGCTTCGTGTCGACGACTCCAGTCCCGAGGACTCGCCAGAGACCCAGGCCTCCGGGCCCGCCCGGTGCCACGGCTCCCGCCAAACGGGCGGGCGCGCTCTGCAAATCTCGGGGCCCGCCGCAAGGCACCCAGAGCACAGGGAGGTGCCAAGAAAGGCAGGAGCCTACGAAACCCACCTCCAAAGCAAGCAATTCATCCAAGAAAACGCCCGCCTCAGCGCTCCGTTGGTCCTCTCGCACGGACCGCCTGGCCCCCGTGTTCTGGGCGCAGCCCAAGCCCCCTCCACCCTATCCCGGCCTGCTCAAGAGGGCGCTGCCTAACGGAGCCGGGCGCTTCCTCTCTAAGGCTCTATCGCTCTCGCTCTCTAGCTCCCTCCGCCTCTCTCTTCTGGGTTTCCCCCTGGACCTCGCGCTACTTTTGTCGTTTTCCCTCTGTCTCTCTGTCTCTCTCTCTCTCTTTCTCTGTGCCTCTCTCTTTCTCAGCCTCTCTGTCTGTCTCCTTCCCTCTCGCCCTCCCCTGTCTCTCTCGATCGCTGTCTCTCTCCCTCCCTCGGTTTCTATCTCTCCATCCATCTCGTCCTTGCTCTCCTTCAAGCCGCGTGTGTGTGTGCGTGCGTGTGCGCGTGCGTGTGTGCGTGTGTGTCTGTGTGTCTGTGTGTGTGTGTGTGAGTCCGCGCGCGCGCGTGCGAGCGCGCCCGGGTGTGTCTGTGTGTGGGGGAGTGGATTTGCTCCTGGTGGCGGTGGGGTGTGTCTGGGTTTCTCTCAGGCCCTCTCACCCGAGATCAGGCCGCCGCCTCTAGTGCCAGCCCGGGGCAAAACAGGGCCACCCCCCGACCCGCTACACCCCACGCCCTCTTGCCCCCCCGGCCGGGTCTTGGTCGGGACAAGCGACCGTGGTGGGGGCGTTGTGAGAGAAAGGCCCCGCGCGGCTGGGCCGGCTGTTCGCCTTCGGCCAGCCCTGACGGCTCTGGGTGGGTGGGGCAAGAGGGGGCCTCGCAGGAGCCCCTGTGCGGCGAGGGATCCAAAACGCTGCCTCCGCGACAGGGCGGAGGACCGGAGGGCGTCCCAGGATCGTGGGCCCTGGGCCCTGACGCCTCGGAGCACTCCCTGCTCCGAGCGGGCCCGATGTGGTGGAAGCTCGGGAGCGCGGGAGCCGGGGGAAGGCCGCGGGCCAGCGGCTCGGGGGTCCCCGATCCGAGCCCCGCGGCCCCGGGCTGGCGGTGTCGGCTGCAATCCGGCGGGCACGGCCGGGCCGGGCTGGGCTCTTGGGGCAGCCAGGCGCCTCCTTCAGCGTCTACGGCCATACCACCCTGAACGCGCCCGATCTCGTCTGATCTCGGAAGCTAAGCAGGGTCGGGCCTGGTTAGTACTTGGATGGGAGACCGCCTGGGAATACCGGGTGCTGTAGGCTTTTTCTTTGGCTTTTTGCTGTTTCTTTCCTTTTCTTCCAGACGGAGTCTCGCCCTGTCGCCCAGGCTGGAGTGCAGTGGCGCCATCTCGGCTCACTGCAAGCTCCGCCTCCCGGGTTCACGCCATTCCCCGGCCTCAGCCTCCCGAGTAGCTGGGCCTACAGGCGCCCGCCACCACGCCCGGCTACTTTGTTCTATTTTTCCTAGAGACGGGCTTTCACCCTGTTAGCCGGGATGGTCTGGAGCTCCTGACCTCGTGATCCACCCGCCTCGGCCTCCCAGAGTGCTGGGATTACAGGCGCGAGCCACCGCGCCCGCCCGGCCTGCTGTAGGCTTTTGTGGCTTCCCCGCTGCCTCCCTTCCCCCCACAGTCGCCATGCTTCCCAACCTCCCCTGACTCTGCTCCCCCTTTACCGCCCACCTACACCCCCGCCGCAGCCGCAGCCGGGGTCCTCCTGCTGGGGGTCCGCCCCTACTGCACGCCGGCCCGGCAGCAGCATCCCACCGCTTCCGCCTCGCCGCCGCCCCGCCAGGAGCCCGGCTCCAGCCTGGGAGGGCAGGGGGCCGGACCCCAAAGGCGCAGCCGCTGGGTTCCCTGCCGTTCGCGGTGCCTTCCCGCTCCCGGAACGCCCAGGCGATTCAATTCACCCATCGGGCGCCGTCGTCGCACCCTTCCAAACCGGGGGAAGGGGCGGGCAGGGGCAGCGGGTGCCACAGACGCCAGCCAAGACGTCGGCTCCGGAACGCATGGGCTGCTTTACCCGGGGGAAGGACATTGCTTCGCCAGCCACCGGGAAAACAGGCCCTGTGCACCCGGGATTCCCAATGCCCTCCCGCTGCGTGTCGACGACTCCAGTCCCGAGGACTCGCCAGAGACCCAGGCCTCCGGGCCCGCCCGGTGCCACGGCTCCCGCCAAACGGGCGGGCGCGCTCTGCAAATCTCGGGGCCCGCCGCAAGGCACCCAGAGCACAGGGAGGTGCCAAGAAAGGCAGGAGCCTACGAAACCCACCTCCAAAGCAAGCAATTCATCCAAGAAAACGCCCGCCTCAGCGCTCCGTTGGTCCTCTCGCACGGACCGCCTGGACCCCGTGTTCTGGGCGCAGCCCAAGCCCCCTCCACCCTATCCCGGCCTGCTCAAGAGGGCGCTGCCTAACGGAGCCGGGCGCTTCCTCTCTAAGGCTCTATCGCTCTCGCTCTCTAGCTCCCTCCGCCTCTCTCTTCTGGGTTTCCCCCTGGACCTCGCGCTACTTTTGTCGTTTTCCCTCTGTCTCTCTGTCTCTCTCTCTCTCTTTCTCTGTGCCTCTCTCTTTCTCAGCCTCTCTGTCTGTCTCCTTCCCTCTCGCCCTCCCCTGTCTCTCTCGATCGCTGTCTCTCTCCCTCCCTCGGTTTCTATCTCTCCATCCATCTCGTCCTTGCTCTCCTTCAAGCCGCGTGTGTGTGTGCGTGCGTGTGCGCGTGCGTGTGTGCGTGTGTGTCTGTGTGTCTGTGTGTGTGTGTGTGAGTCCGCGCGCGCGCGTGCGAGCGCGCCCGGGTGTGTCTGTGTGTGGGGGAGTGGATTTGCTCCTGGTGGCGGTGGGGTGTGTCTGGGTTTCTCTCAGGCCCTCTCACCCGAGATCAGGCCGCCGCCTCTAGTGCCAGCCCGGGGCAAAACAGGGCCACCCCCCGACCCGCTACACCCCACGCCCTCTTGCCCCCCCGGCCGGGTCTTGGTCGGGACAAGCGACCGTGGTGGGGGCGTTGTGAGAGAAAGGCCCCGCGCGGCTGGGCCGGCTGTTCGCCTTCGGCCAGCCCTGACGGCTCTGGGTGGGTGGGGCAAGAGGGGGCCTCGCAGGAGCCCCTGTGCGGCGAGGGATCCAAAACGCTGCCTCCGCGACAGGGCGGAGGACCGGAGGGCGTCCCAGGATCGTGGGCCCTGGGCCCTGACGCCTCGGAGCACTCCCTGCTCCGAGCGGGCCCGATGTGGTGGAAGCTCGGGAGCGCGGGAGCCGGGGGAAGGCCGCGGGCCAGCGGCTCGGGGGTCCCCGATCCGAGCCCCGCGGCCCCGGGCTGGCGGTGTCGGCTGCAATCCGGCGGGCACGGCCGGGCCGGGCTGGGCTCTTGGGGCAGCCAGGCGCCTCCTTCAGCGTCTACGGCCATACCACCCTGAACGCGCCCGATCTCGTCTGATCTCGGAAGCTAAGCAGGGTCGGGCCTGGTTAGTACTTGGACGGGAGACCGCCTGGGAATACCGGGTGCTGTAGGCTTTTTCTTTGGCTTTTTGCTGTTTCTTTCCTTTTCTTCCAGACGGAGTCTCGCCCTGTCGCCCAGGCTGGAGTGCAGTGGCGCCATCTCGGCTCACTGCAAGCTCCGCCTCCCGGGTTCACGCCATTCCCCGGCCTCAGCCTCCCGAGTAGCTGGGCCTACAGGCGCCCGCCACCACGCCCGGCTACTTTGTTCTATTTTTCCTAGAGACGGGCTTTCACCCTGTTAGCCGGGATGGTCTGGAGCTCCTGACCTCGTGATCCACCCGCCTCGGCCTCCCAGAGTGCTGGGATTACAGGCGCGAGCCACCGCGCCCGCCCGGCCTGCTGTAGGCTTTTGTGGCTTCCCGGCTGCCTCCCTTCCCCCCACAGTCGCCATGCTACCCAACCTCCCCTGACTCTGCTCCCCCTTTACCGCCCACCTACACCCCCGCCGCAGCCGCAGCCGGGGTCCTCCTGCTGGGGGTCCGCCCCTACTGCACGCCGGCCCGGCAGCAGCATCCCACCGCTTCCGCCTCGCCGCCGCCCCGCCAGGAGCCCGGCTCCAGCCTGGGAGGGCAGGGGGCCGGACCCCAAAGGCGCAGCCGCTGGGTTCCCTGCCGTTCGCGGTGCCTTCCCGCTCCCGGAACGCCCAGGCGATTCAATTCACCCATCGGGCGCCGTCGTCGCACCCTTCCAAACCGGGGGAAGGGGCGGGCAGGGGCAGCGGGTGCCACAGACGCCAGCCAAGACGTCGGCTCCGGAACGCATGGGCTGCTTTACCCGGGGGAAGGACATTGCTTCGCCAGCCACCGGGAAAACAGGCCCTGTGCACCCGGGATTCCCAATGCCCCCCGCTTCGTGTCGACGACTCCAGTCCCGAGGACTCGCCAGAGACCCAGGCCTCCGGGCCCGCCCGGTGCCACGGCTCCCGCCAAACGGGCGGGCGCGCTCTGCAAATCTCGGGGCCCGCCGCAAGGCACCCAGAGCACAGGGAGCTGCCAAGAAAGGCAGGAGCCTACGAAACCCACCTCCAAAGCAAGCAATTCATCCAAGAAAACGCCCGCCTCAGCGCTCCGTTGGTCCTCTCGCACGGACCGCCTGGCCCCCGTGTTCTGGGCGCAGCCCAAGCCCCCTCCACCCTATCCCGACCTGCTCAAGACGGCGCTGCCTAACGGAGCCGGGCACTTCCTCTCTAAGGCTCTATCGCTCTCGCTCTCTAGCTCCCTCCGCCTCTCTCTTCTGGGTTTCCCCCTGGACCTCGCGCTACTTTTGTCGTTTTCCCTCTGTCTCTCTGTCTCTCTCTCTCTCTTTCTCTGTGCCTCTCTCTTTCTCAGCCTCTCTGTCTGTCTCCTTCCCTCTCGCCCTCCCCTGTCTCTCTCGATCGCTGTCTCTCTCCCTCCCTCGGTTTCTATCTCTCCATCCATCTCGTCCTTGCTCTCCTTCAAGCCGCGTGTGTGTGTGCGTGCGTGTGCGCGTGCGTGTGTGCGTGTGTCTGTGTGTCTGTGTGTGTGTGTGTGAGTCCGCGCGCGCGCGTGCGAGCGCGCCCGGGTGTGTCTGTGTGTGGGGGAGTGGATTTGCTCCTGGTGGCGGTGGGGTGTGTCTGGGTTTCTCTCAGGCCCTCTCACCCGAGATCAGGCCGCCGCCTCTAGTGCCAGCCCGGGGCAAAACAGGGCCACCCCCCGACCCGCTACACCCCACGCCCTCTTGCCCCCCCGGCCGGGTCTTGGTCGGGACAAGCGACCGTGGTGGGGGCGTTGTGAGAGAAAGGCCCCGCGCGGCTGGGCCGGCTGTTCGCCTTCGGCCAGCCCTGACGGCTCTGGGTGGGTGGGGCAAGAGGGGGCCTCGCAGGAGCCCCTGTGCGGCGAGGGATCCAAAACGCTGCCTCCGCGACAGGGCGGAGGACCGGAGGGCGTCCCAGGATCGTGGGCCCTGGGCCCTGACGCCTCGGAGCACTCCCTGCTCCGAGCGGGCCCGATGTGGTGGAAGCTCGGGAGCGCGGGAGCCGGGGGAAGGCCGCGGGCCAGCGGCTCGGGGGTCCCCGATCCGAGCCCCGCGGCCCCGGGCTGGCGGTGTCGGCTGCAATCCGGCGGGCACGGCCGGGCCGGGCTGGGCTCTTGGGGCAGCCAGGCGCCTCCTTCAGCGTCTACGGCCATACCACCCTGAACGCGCCCGATCTCGTCTGATCTCGGAAGCTAAGCAGGGTCGGGCCTGGTTAGTACTTGGATGGGAGACCGCCTGGGAATACCGGGTGCTGTAGGCTTTTTCTTTGGCTTTTTGCTGTTTCTTTCCTTTTCTTCCAGACGGAGTCTCGCCCTGTCGCCCAGGCTGGAGTGCAGTGGCGCCATCTCGGCTCACTGCAAGCTCCGCCTCCCGGGTTCACGCCATTCCCCGGCCTCAGCCTCCCGAGTAGCTGGGCCTACAGGCGCCCGCCACCACGCCCGGCTACTTTGTTCTATTTTTCCTAGAGACGGGCTTTCACCCTGTTAGCCGGGATGGTCTGGAGCTCCTGACCTCGTGATCCACCCGCCTCGGCCTCCCAGAGTGCTGGGATTACAGGCGCGAGCCACCGCGCCCGCCCGGCCTGCTGTAGGCTTTTGTGGCTTCCCCGCTGCCTCCCTTCCCCCCACAGTCGCCATGCTTCCCAACCTCCCCTGACTCTGCTCCCCCTTTACCGCCCACCTACACCCCCGCCGCAGCCGCAGCCGGGGTCCTCCTGCTGGGGGTCCGCCCCTACTGCACGCCGGCCCGGCAGCAGCATCCCACCGCTTCCGCCTCGCCGCCGCCCCGCCAGGAGCCCGGCTCCAGCCTGGGAGGGCAGGGGGCCGGACCCCAAAGGCGCAGCCGCTGGGTTCCCTGCCGTTCGCGGTGCCTTCCCGCTCCCGGAACGCCCAGGCGATTCAATTCACCCATCGGGCGCCGTCGTCGCACCCTTCCAAACCGGGGGAAGGGGCGGGCAGGGGCAGCGGGTGCCACAGACGCCAGCCAAGACGTCGGCTCCGGAACGCATGGGCTGCTTTACCCGGGGGAAGGACATTGCTTCGCCAGCCACCGGGAAAACAGGCCCTGTGCACCCGGGATTCCCAATGCCCTCCCGCTGCGTGTCGACGACTCCAGTCCCGAGGACTCGCCAGAGACCCAGGCCTCCGGGCCCGCCCGGTGCCACGGCTCCCGCCAAACGGGCGGGCGCGCTCTGCAAATCTCGGGGCCCGCCGCAAGGCACCCAGAGCACAGGGAGGTGCCAAGAAAGGCAGGAGCCTACGAAACCCACCTCCAAAGCAAGCAATTCATCCAAGAAAACGCCCGCCTCAGCGCTCCGTTGGTCCTCTCGCACGGACCGCCTGGACCCCGTGTTCTGGGCGCAGCCCAAGCCCCCTCCACCCTATCCCGGCCTGCTCAAGAGGGCGCTGCCTAACGGAGCCGGGCGCTTCCTCTCTAAGGCTCTATCGCTCTCGCTCTCTAGCTCCCTCCGCCTCTCTCTTCTGGGTTTCCCCCTGGACCTCGCGCTACTTTTGTCGTTTTCCCTCTGTCTCTCTGTCTCTCTCTCTCTCTTTCTCTGTGCCTCTCTCTTTCTCAGCCTCTCTGTCTGTCTCCTTCCCTCTCGCCCTCCCCTGTCTCTCTCGATCGCTGTCTCTCTCCCTCCCTCGGTTTCTATCTCTCCATCCATCTCGTCCTTGCTCTCCTTCAAGCCGCGTGTGTGTGTGCGTGCGTGTGCGCGTGCGTGTGTGCGTGTGTGTCTGTGTGTCTGTGTGTGTGTGTGTGAGTCCGCGCGCGCGCGTGCGAGCGCGCCCGGGTGTGTCTGTGTGTGGGGGAGTGGATTTGCTCCTGGTGGCGG
The DNA here is from genome assembly GCF_000001405.40 of Homo sapiens. Classification (NCBI taxonomy): domain Eukaryota; kingdom Metazoa; phylum Chordata; class Mammalia; order Primates; family Hominidae; genus Homo; species Homo sapiens. The sequence goes on along the minus strand of NC_000001.11, from coordinate 228,624,336 downwards.
TGGGGTGTGTCTGGGTTTCTCTCAGGCCCTCTCACCCGAGATCAGGCCGCCGCCTCTAGTGCCAGCCCGGGGCAAAACAGGGCCACCCCCCGACCCGCTACACCCCACGCCCTCTTGCCCCCCCGGCCGGGTCTTGGTCGGGACAAGCGACCGTGGTGGGGGCGTTGTGAGAGAAAGGCCCCGCGCGGCTGGGCCGGCTGTTCGCCTTCGGCCAGCCCTGACGGCTCTGGGTGGGTGGGGCAAGAGGGGGCCTCGCAGGAGCCCCTGTGCGGCGAGGGATCCAAAACGCTGCCTCCGCGACAGGGCGGAGGACCGGAGGGCGTCCCAGGATCGTGGGCCCTGGGCCCTGACGCCTCGGAGCACTCCCTGCTCCGAGCGGGCCCGATGTGGTGGAAGCTCGGGAGCGCGGGAGCTGGGGGAAGGCCGCGGGCCAGCGGCTCGGGGGTCCCCGATCCGAGCCCCGCGGCCCCGGGCTGGCGGTGTCGGCTGCAATCCGGCGGGCACGGCCGGGCCGGGCTGGGCTCTTGGGGCAGCCAGGCGCCTCCTTCAGCGTCTACGGCCATACCACCCTGAACGCGCCCGATCTCGTCTGATCTCGGAAGCTAAGCAGGGTCGGGCCTGGTTAGTACTTGGATGGGAGACCGCCTGGGAATACCGGGTGCTGTAGGCTTTTTCTTTGGCTTTTTGCTGTTTCTTTCCTTTTCTTCCAGACGGAGTCTCGCCCTGTCGCCCAGGCTGGAGTGCAGTGGCGCCATCTCGGCTCACTGCAAGCTCCGCCTCCCGGGTTCACGCCATTCCCCGGCCTCAGCCTCCCGAGTAGCTGGGCCTACAGGCGCCCGCCACCACGCCCGGCTACTTTGTTCTATTTTTCCTAGAGACGGGCTTTCACCCTGTTAGCCGGGATGGTCTGGAGCTCCTGACCTCGTGATCCACCCGCCTCGGCCTCCCAGAGTGCTGGGATTACAGGCGCGAGCCACCGCGCCCGCCCGGCCTGCTGTAGGCTTTTGTGGCTTCCCCGCTGCCTCCCTTCCCCCCACAGTCGCCATGCTACCCAACCTCCCCTGACTCTGCTCCCCCTTTACCGCCCACCTACACCCCCGCCGCAGCCGCAGCCGGGGTCCTCCTGCTGGGGGTCCGCCCCTACTGCACGCCGGCCGGGCAGCAGCATCCCACCGCTTCCGCCTCGCCGCCGCCCCGCCAGGAGCCCGGCTCCAGCCTGGGAGGGCAGGGGGCCGGACCCCAAAGGCGCAGCCGCTGGGTTCCCTGCCGTTCGCGGTGCCTTCCCGCTCCCGGAACGCCCAGGCGATTCAATTCACCCATCGGGCGCCGTCGTCGCACCCTTCCAAACCGGGGGAAGGGGCGGGCAGGGGCAGCGGGTGCCACAGACGCCAGCCAAGACGTCGGCTCCGGAACGCATGGGCTGCTTTACCCGGGGGAAGGACATTGCTTCGCCAGCCACCGGGAAAACAGGCCCTGTGCACCCGGGATTCCCAATGCCCTCCCGCTGCGTGTCGACGACTCCAGTCCCGAGGACTCGCCAGAGACCCAGGCCTCCGGGCCCGCCCGGTGCCACGGCTCCCGCCAAACGGGCGGGCGCGCTCTGCAAATCTCGGGGCCCGCCGCAAGGCACCCAGAGCACAGGGAGGTGCCAAGAAAGGCAGGAGCCTACGAAACCCACCTCCAAAGCAAGCAATTCATCCAAGAAAACGCCCGCCTCAGCGCTCCGTTGGTCCTCTCGCACGGACCGCCTGGCCCCCGTGTTCTGGGCGCAGCCCAAGCCCCCTCCACCCTATCCCGGCCTGCTCAAGAGGGCGCTGCCTAACGGAGCCGGGCGCTTCCTCTCTAAGGCTCTATCGCTCTCGCTCTCTAGCTCCCTCCGCCTCTCTCTTCTGGGTTTCCCCCTGGACCTCGCGCTACTTCTGTCGTTTTCCCTCTGTCTCTCTGTCTCTCTCTCTCTCTTTCTCTGTGCCTCTCTCTTTCTCAGCCTCTCTGTCTGTCTCCTTCCCTCTCGCCCTCCCCTGTCTCTCTCGATCGCTGTCTCTCTCCCTCCCTCGGTTTCTATCTCTCCATCCATCTCGTCCTTGCTCTCCTTCAAGCCGCGTGTGTGTGTGCGTGCGTGTGCGCGTGCGTGTGTGTGTGTGTGTGTGAGTCCGCGCGCGCGCGTGCGAGCGCGCCCGGGTGTGTCTGTGTGTGGGGGAGTGGATTTGCTCCTGGTGGCGGTGGGGTGTGTCTGGGTTTCTCTCAGGCCCTCTCACCCGAGATCAGGCCGCCGCCTCTAGTGCCAGCCCGGGGCAAAACAGGGCCACCCCCCGACCCGCTACACCCCACGCCCTCTTGCCCCCCCGGCCGGGTCTTGGTCGGGACAAGCGACCGTGGTGGGGGCGTTGTGAGAGAAAGGCCCCGCGCGGCTGGGCCGGCTGTTCGCCTTCGGCCAGCCCTGACGGCTCTGGGTGGGTGGGGCAAGAGGGGGCCTCGCAGGAGCCCCTGTGCGGCGAGGGATCCAAAACGCTGCCTCCGCGACAGGGCGGAGGACCGGAGGGCGTCCCAGGATCGTGGGCCCTGGGCCCTGACGCCTCGGAGCACTCCCTGCTCCGAGCGGGCCCGATGTGGTGGAAGCTCGGGAGCGCGGGAGCTGGGGGAAGGCCGCGGGCCAGCGGCTCGGGGGTCCCCGATCCGAGCCCCGCGGCCCCGGGCTGGCGGTGTCGGCTGCAATCCGGCGGGCACGGCCGGGCCGGGCTGGGCTCTTGGGGCAGCCAGGCGCCTCCTTCAGCGTCTACGGCCATACCACCCTGAACGCGCCCGATCTCGTCTGATCTCGGAAGCTAAGCAGGGTCGGGCCTGGTTAGTACTTGGATGGGAGACCGCCTGGGAATACCGGGTGCTGTAGGCTTTTTCTTTGGCTTTTTGCTGTTTCTTTCCTTTTCTTCCAGACGGAGTCTCGCCCTGTCGCCCAGGCTGGAGTGCAGTGGCGCCATCTCGGCTCACTGCAAGCTCCGCCTCCCGGGTTCACGCCATTCCCCGGCCTCAGCCTCCCGAGTAGCTGGGCCTACAGGCGCCCGCCACCACGCCCGGCTACTTTGTTCTATTTTTCCTAGAGACGGGCTTTCACCCTGTTAGCCGGGATGGTCTGGAGCTCCTGACCTCGTGATCCACCCGCCTCGGCCTCCCAGAGTGCTGGGATTACAGGCGCGAGCCACCGCGCCCGCCCGGCCTGCTGTAGGCTTTTGTGGCTTCCCGGCTGCCTCCCTTCCCCCCACAGTCGCCATGCTTCCCAACCTCCCCTGACTCTGCTCCGCCTTTACCGCCCACCTACACCCCCGCCGCAGCCGCAGCCGGGGTCCTCCTGCTGGGGGTCCGCCCCTACTGCACGCCGGCCCGGCAGCAGCATCCCACCGCTCCGCCAGGAGCCCGGCTCCAGCCTGGGAGGGCAGGGGGCCGGACCCCAAAGGCGCAGCCGCTGGGTTCCCTGCCGTTCGCGGTGCCTTCCCGCTCCCGGAACGCCCAGGTGATTCAATTCACCCATCGGGCGCCGTCGTCGCACCCTTCCAAACCGGGGGAAGGGGCGGGCAGGGGCAGCGGGTGCCACAGACGCCAGCCAAGACGTCGGCTCCAGAACGCATGGGCTGCTTTACCCGGGGGAAGGACATTGCTTCGCCAGCCACCGGGAAAACAGGCCCTGTGCACCCGGGATTCCCAATGCCCTCCCGCTGCGTGTCGACGACTCCAGTCCCGAGGACTCGCCAGAGACCCAGGCCTCCGGGCCCGCCCGGTGCCACGGCTCCCGCCAAACGGGCGGGCGCGCTCTGCAAATCTCGGGGCCCGCCGCAAGGCACCCAGAGCACAGGGAGGTGCCAAGAAAGGCAGGAGCCTACGAAACCCACCTCCAAAGCAAGCAATTCATCCAAGAAAACGCCCGCCTCAGCGCTCCGTTGGTCCTCTCGCACGGACCGCCTGGACCCCGTGTTCTGGGCGCAGCCCAAGCCCCCTCCACCCTATCCCGGCCTGCTCAAGAGGGCGCTGCCTAACGGAGCCGGGCGCTTCCTCTCTAAGGCTCTATCGCTCTCGCTCTCTAGCTCCCTCCGCCTCTCTCTTCTGGGTTTCCCCCTGGACCTCGCGCTACTTTTGTCGTTTTCCCTCTGTCTCTCTGTCTCTCTCTCTCTCTTTCTCTGTGCCTCTCTCTTTCTCAGCCTCTCTGTCTGTCTCCTTCCCTCTCGCCCTCCCCTGTCTCTCTCGATCGCTGTCTCTCTCCCTCCCTCGGTTTCTATCTCTCCATCCATCTCGTCCTTGCTCTCCTTCAAGCCGCGTGTGTGTGTGCGTGCGTGTGCGCGTGCGTGTGTGCGTGTGTGTCTGTGTGTGTGTGTGTGTCCGCGCGCGCGGGTGCGAGCGCGCCCGGGTGTGTCTGTGTGTGGGGGAGTGGATTTGCTCCTGGTGGCGGTGGGGTGTGTCTGGGTTTCTCTCAGGCCCTCTCACCCGAGATCAGGCCGCCGCCTCTAGTGCCAGCCCGGGGCAAAACAGGGCCACCCCCCGACCCGCTACACCCCACGCCCTCTTGCCCCCCCGGCCGGGTCTTGGTCGGGACAAGCGACCGTGGTGGGGGCGTTGTGAGAGAAAGGCCCCGCGCGGCTGGGCCGGCTGTTCGCCTTCGGCCAGCCCTGACGGCTCTGGGTGGGTGGGGCAAGAGGGGGCCTCGCAGGAGCCCCTGTGCGGCGAGGGATCCAAAACGCTGCCTCCGCGACAGGGCGGAGGACCGGAGGGCGTCCCAGGATCGTGGGCCCTGGGCCCTGACGCCTCGGAGCACTCCCTGCTCCGAGCGGGCCCGATGTGGTGGAAGCTCGGGAGCGCGGGAGCCGGGGGAAGGCCGCGGGCCAGCGGCTCGGGGGTCCCCGATCCGAGCCCCGCGGCCCCGGGCTGGCGGTGTCGGCTGCAATCCGGCGGGCACGGCCGGGCCGGGCTGGGCTCTTGGGGCAGCCAGGCGCCTCCTTCAGCGTCTACGGCCATACCACCCTGAACGCGCCCGATCTCGTCTGATCTCGGAAGCTAAGCAGGGTCGGGCCTGGTTAGTACTTGGATGGGAGACCGCCTGGGAATACCGGGTGCTGTAGGCTTTTTCTTTGGCTTTTTGCTGTTTCTTTCCTTTTCTTCCAGACGGAGTCTCGCCCTGTCGCCCAGGCTGGAGTGCAGTGGCGCCATCTCGGCTCACTGCAAGCTCCGCCTCCCGGGTTCACGCCATTCCCCGGCCTCAGCCTCCCGAGTAGCTGGGCCTACAGGCGCCCGCCACCACGCCCGGCTACTTTGTTCTATTTTTCCTAGAGACGGGCTTTCACCCTGTTAGCCGGGATGGTCTGGAGCTCCTGACCTCGTGATCCACCCGCCTCGGCCTCCCAGAGTGCTGGGATTACAGGCGCGAGCCACCGCGCCCGCCCGGCCTGCTGTAGGCTTTTGTGGCTTCCCCGCTGCCTCCCTTCCCCCCACAGTCGCCATGCTACCCAACCTCCCCTGACTCTGCTCCCCCTTTACCGCCCACCTACACCCCCGCCGCAGCCGCAGCCGGGGTCCTCCTGCTGGGGGTCCGCCCCTACTGCACGCCGGCCCGGCAGCAGCATCCCACCGCTTCCGCCTCGCCGCCGCCCCGCCAGGAGCCCGGCTCCAGCCTGGGAGGGCAGGGGGCCGGACCCCAAAGGCGCAGCCGCTGGGTTCCCTGCCGTTCGCGGTGCCTTCCCGCTCCCGGAACGCCCAGGCGATTCAATTCACCCATCGGGCGCCGTCGTCGCACCCTTCCAAACCGGGGGAAGGGGCGGGCAGGGGCAGCGGGTGCCACAGACGCCAGCCAAGACGTCGGCTCCGGAACGCATGGGCTGCTTTACCCGGGGGAAGGACATTGCTTCGCCAGCCACCGGGAAAACAGGCCCTGTGCACCCGGGATTCCCAATGCCCCCCGCTTCGTGTCGACGACTCCAGTCCCGAGGACTCGCCAGAGACCCAGGCCTCCGGGCCCGCCCGGTGCCACGGCTCCCGCCAAACGGGCGGGCGCGCTCTGCAAATCTCGGGGCCCGCCGCAAGGCACCCAGAGCACAGGGAGCTGCCAAGAAAGGCAGGAGCCTACGAAACCCACCTCCAAAGCAAGCAATTCATCCAAGAAAACGCCCGCCTCAGCGCTCCGTTGGTCCTCTCGCACGGACCGCCTGGCCCCCGTGTTCTGGGCGCAGCCCAAGCCCCCTCCACCCTATCCCGACCTGCTCAAGACGGCGCTGCCTAACGGAGCCGGGCACTTCCTCTCTAAGGCTCTATCGCTCTCGCTCTCTAGCTCCCTCCGCCTCTCTCTTCTGGGTTTCCCCCTGGACCTCGCGCTACTTTTGTCGTTTTCCCTCTGTCTCTCTGTCTCTCTCTCTCTCTTTCTCTGTGCCTCTCTCTTTCTCAGCCTCTCTGTCTGTCTCCTTCCCTCTCGCCCTCCCCTGTCTCTCTCGATCGCTGTCTCTCTCCCTCCCTCGGTTTCTATCTCTCCATCCATCTCGTCCTTGCTCTCCTTCAAGCCGCGTGTGTGTGTGCGTGCGTGTGCGCGTGCGTGTGTGCGTGTGTGTCTGTGTGTCTGTGTGTGTGTGTGTGAGTCCGCGCGCGCGCGTGCGAGCGCGCCCGGGTGTGTCTGTGTGTGGGGGAGTGGATTTGCTCCTGGTGGCGGTGGGGTGTGTCTGGGTTTCTCTCAGGCCCTCTCACCCGAGATCAGGCCGCCGCCTCTAGTGCCAGCCCGGGGCAAAACAGGGCCACCCCCCGACCCGCTACACCCCACGCCCTCTTGCCCCCCCGGCCGGGTCTTGGTCGGGACAAGCGACCGTGGTGGGGGCGTTGTGAGAGAAAGGCCCCGCGCGGCTGGGCCGGCTGTTCGCCTTCGGCCAGCCCTGACGGCTCTGGGTGGGTGGGGCAAGAGGGGGCCTCGCAGGAGCCCCTGTGCGGCGAGGGATCCAAAACGCTGCCTCCGCGACAGGGCGGAGGACCGGAGGGCGTCCCAGGATCGTGGGCCCTGGGCCCTGACGCCTCGGAGCACTCCCTGCTCCGAGCGGGCCCGATGTGGTGGAAGCTCGGGAGCGCGGGAGCTGGGGGAAGGCCGCGGGCCAGCGGCTCGGGGGTCCCCGATCCGAGCCCCGCGGCCCCGGGCTGGCGGTGTCGGCTGCAATCCGGCGGGCACGGCCGGGCCGGGCTGGGCTCTTGGGGCAGCCAGGCGCCTCCTTCAGCGTCTACGGCCATACCACCCTGAACGCGCCCGATCTCGTCTGATCTCGGAAGCTAAGCAGGGTCGGGCCTGGTTAGTACTTGGATGGGAGACCGCCTGGGAATACCGGGTGCTGTAGGCTTTTTCTTTGGCTTTTTGCTGTTTCTTTCCTTTTCTTCCAGACGGAGTCTCGCCCTGTCGCCCAGGCTGGAGTGCAGTGGCGCCATCTCGGCTCACTGCAAGCTCCGCCTCCCGGGTTCACGCCATTCCCCGGCCTCAGCCTCCCGAGTAGCTGGGCCTACAGGCGCCCGCCACCACGCCCGGCTACTTTGTTCTATTTTTCCTAGAGACGGGCTTTCACCCTGTTAGCCGGGATGGTCTGGAGCTCCTGACCTCGTGATCCACCCGCCTCGGCCTCCCAGAGTGCTGGGATTACAGGCGCGAGCCACCGCGCCCGCCCGGCCTGCTGTAGGCTTTTGTGGCTTCCCCGCTGCCTCCCTTCCCCCCACAGTCGCCATGCTTCCCAACCTCCCCTGACTCTGCTCCCCCTTTACCGCCCACCTACACCCCCGCCGCAGCCGCAGCCGGGGTCCTCCTGCTGGGGGTCCGCCCCTACTGCACGCCGGCCCGGCAGCAGCATCCCACCGCTTCCGCCTCGCCGCCGCCCCGCCAGGAGCCCGGCTCCAGCCTGGGAGGGCAGGGGGCCGGACCCCAAAGGCGCAGCCGCTGGGTTCCCTGCCGTTCGCGGTGCCTTCCCGCTCCCGGAACGCCCAGGCGATTCAATTCACCCATCGGGCGCCGTCGTCGCACCCTTCCAAACCGGGGGAAGGGGCGGGCAGGGGCAGCGGGTGCCACAGACGCCAGCCAAGACGTCGGCTCCGGAACGCATGGGCTGCTTTACCCGGGGGAAGGACATTGCTTCGCCAGCCACCGGGAAAACAGGCCCTGTGCACCCGGGATTCCCAATGCCCCCCGCTTCGTGTCGACGACTCCAGTCCCGAGGACTCGCCAGAGACCCAGGCCTCCGGGCCCGCCCGGTGCCACGGCTCCCGCCAAACGGGCGGGCGCGCTCTGCAAATCTCGGGGCCCGCCGCAAGGCACCCAGAGCACAGGGAGGTGCCAAGAAAGGCAGGAGCCTACGAAACCCACCTCCAAAGCAAGCAATTCATCCAAGAAAACGCCCGCCTCAGCGCTCCGTTGGTCCTCTCGCACGGACCGCCTGGACCCCGTGTTCTGGGCGCAGCCCAAGCCCCCTCCACCCTATCCCGGCCTGCTCAAGAGGGCGCTGCCTAACGGAGCCGGGCGCTTCCTCTCTAAGGCTCTATCGCTCTCGCTCTCTAGCTCCCTCCGCCTCTCTCTTCTGGGTTTCCCCCTGGACCTCGCGCTACTTTTGTCGTTTTCCCTCTGTCTCTCTGTCTCTCTCTCTCTCTTTCTCTGTGCCTCTCTCTTTCTCAGCCTCTCTGTCTGTCTCCTTCCCTCTCGCCCTCCCCTGTCTCTCTCGATCGCTGTCTCTCTCCCTCCCTCGGTTTCTATCTCTCCATCCATCTCGTCCTTGCTCTCCTTCAAGCCGCGTGTGTGTGTGCGTGCGTGTGCGCGTGCGTGTGTGCGTGTGTGTCTGTGTGTCTGTGTGTGTGTGTGTGAGTCCGCGCGCGCGCGTGCGAGCGCGCCCGGGTGTGTCTGTGTGTGGGGGAGTGGATTTGCTCCTGGTGGCGGTGGGGTGTGTCTGGGTTTCTCTCAGGCCCTCTCACCCGAGATCAGGCCGCCGCCTCTAGTGCCAGCCCGGGGCAAAACAGGGCCACCCCCCGACCCGCTACACCCCACGCCCTCTTGCCCCCCCGGCCGGGTCTTGGTCGGGACAAGCGACCGTGGTGGGGGCGTTGTGAGAGAAAGGCCCCGCGCGGCTGGGCCGGCTGTTCGCCTTCGGCCAGCCCTGACGGCTCTGGGTGGGTGGGGCAAGAGGGGGCCTCGCAGGAGCCCCTGTGCGGCGAGGGATCCAAAACGCTGCCTCCGCGACAGGGCGGAGGACCGGAGGGCGTCCCAGGATCGTGGGCCCTGGGCCCTGACGCCTCGGAGCACTCCCTGCTCCGAGCGGGCCCGATGTGGTGGAAGCTCGGGAGCGCGGGAGCCGGGGGAAGGCCGCGGGCCAGCGGCTCGGGGGTCCCCGATCCGAGCCCCGCGGCCCCGGGCTGGCGGTGTCGGCTGCAATCCGGCGGGCACGGCCGGGCCGGGCTGGGCTCTTGGGGCAGCCAGGCGCCTCCTTCAGCGTCTACGGCCATACCACCCTGAACGCGCCCGATCTCGTCTGATCTCGGAAGCTAAGCAGGGTCGGGCCTGGTTAGTACTTGGATGGGAGACCGCCTGGGAATACCGGGTGCTGTAGGCTTTTTCTTTGGCTTTTTGCTGTTTCTTTCCTTTTCTTCCAGACGGAGTCTCGCCCTGTCGCCCAGGCTGGAGTGCAGTGGCGCCATCTCGGCTCACTGCAAGCTCCGCCTCCCGGGTTCACGCCATTCCCCGGCCTCAGCCTCCCGAGTAGCTGGGCCTACAGGCGCCCGCCACCACGCCCGGCTACTTTGTTCTATTTTTCCTAGAGACGGGCTTTCACCCTGTTAGCCGGGATGGTCTGGAGCTCCTGACCTCGTGATCCACCCGCCTCGGCCTCCCAGAGTGCTGGGATTACAGGCGCGAGCCACCGCGCCCGCCCGGCCTGCTGTAGGCTTTTGTGGCTTCCCCGCTGCCTCCCTTCCCCCCACAGTCGCCATGCTACCCAACCTCCCCTGACTCTGCTCCCCCTTTACCGCCCACCTACACCCCCGCCGCAGCCGCAGCCGGGGTCCTCCTGCTGGGGGTCCGCCCCTACTGCACGCCGGCCGGGCAGCAGCATCCCACCGCTTCCGCCTCGCCGCCGCCCCGCCAGGAGCCCGGCTCCAGCCTGGGAGGGCAGGGGGCCGGACCCCAAAGGCGCAGCCGCTGGGTTCCCTGCCGTTCGCGGTGCCTTCCCGCTCCCGGAACGCCCAGGCGATTCAATTCACCCATCGGGCGCCGTCGTCGCACCCTTCCAAACCGGGGGAAGGGGCGGGCAGGGGCAGCGGGTGCCACAGACGCCAGCCAAGACGTCGGCTCCGGAACGCATGGGCTGCTTTACCCGGGGGAAGGACATTGCTTCGCCAGCCACCGGGAAAACAGGCCCTGTGCACCCGGGATTCCCAATGCCCCCCGCTTCGTGTCGACGACTCCAGTCCCGAGGACTCGCCAGAGACCCAGGCCTCCGGGCCCGCCCGGTGCCACGGCTCCCGCCAAACGGGCGGGCGCGCTCTGCAAATCTCGGGGCCCGCCGCAAGGCACCCAGAGCACAGGGAGGTGCCAAGAAAGGCAGGAGCCTACGAAACCCACCTCCAAAGCAAGCAATTCATCCAAGAAAACGCCCGCCTCAGCGCTCCGTTGGTCCTCTCGCACGGACCGCCTGGCCCCCGTGTTCTGGGCGCAGCCCAAGCCCCCTCCACCCTATCCCGGCCTGCTCAAGAGGGCGCTGCCTAACGGAGCCGGGCGCTTCCTCTCTAAGGCTCTATCGCTCTCGCTCTCTAGCTCCCTCCGCCTCTCTCTTCTGGGTTTCCCCCTGGACCTCGCGCTACTTTTGTCGTTTTCCCTCTGTCTCTCTGTCTCTCTCTCTCTCTTTCTCTGTGCCTCTCTCTTTCTCAGCCTCTCTGTCTGTCTCCTTCCCTCTCGCCCTCCCCTGTCTCTCTCGATCGCTGTCTCTCTCCCTCCCTCGGTTTCTATCTCTCCATCCATCTCGTCCTTGCTCTCCTTCAAGCCGCGTGTGTGTGTGCGTGCGTGTGCGCGTGCGTGTGTGCGTGTGTGTCTGTGTGTCTGTGTGTGTGTGTGTGAGTCCGCGCGCGCGCGTGCGAGCGCGCCCGGGTGTGTCTGTGTGTGGGGGAGTGGATTTGCTCCTGGTGGCGGTGGGGTGTGTCTGGGTTTCTCTCAGGCCCTCTCACCCGAGATCAGGCCGCCGCCTCTAGTGCCAGCCCGGGGCAAAACAGGGCCACCCCCCGACCCGCTACACCCCACGCCCTCTTGCCCCCCCGGCCGGGTCTTGGTCGGGACAAGCGACCGTGGTGGGGGCGTTGTGAGAGAAAGGCCCCGCGCGGCTGGGCCGGCTGTTCGCCTTCGGCCAGCCCTGACGGCTCTGGGTGGGTGGGGCAAGAGGGGGCCTCGCAGGAGCCCCTGTGCGGCGAGGGATCCAAAACGCTGCCTCCGCGACAGGGCGGAGGACCGGAGGGCGTCCCAGGATCGTGGGCCCTGGGCCCTGACGCCTCGGAGCACTCCCTGCTCCGAGCGGGCCCGATGTGGTGGAAGCTCGGGAGCGCGGGAGCCGGGGGAAGGCCGCGGGCCAGCGGCTCGGGGGTCCCCGATCCGAGCCCCGCGGCCCCGGGCTGGCGGTGTCGGCTGCAATCCGGCGGGCACGGCCGGGCCGGGCTGGGCTCTTGGGGCAGCCAGGCGCCTCCTTCAGCGTCTACGGCCATACCACCCTGAACGCGCCCGATCTCGTCTGATCTCGGAAGCTAAGCAGGGTCGGGCCTGGTTAGTACTTGGATGGGAGACCGCCTGGGAATACCGGGTGCTGTAGGCTTTTTCTTTGGCTTTTTGCTGTTTCTTTCCTTTTCTTCCAGACGGAGTCTCGCCCTGTCGCCCAGGCTGGAGTGCAGTGGCGCCATCTCGGCTCACTGCAAGCTCCGCCTCCCGGGTTCACGCCATTCCCCGGCCTCAGCCTCCCGAGTAGCTGGGCCTACAGGCGCCCGCCACCACGCCCGGCTACTTTGTTCTATTTTTCCTAGAGACGGGCTTTCACCCTGTTAGCCGGGATGGTCTGGAGCTCCTGACCTCGTGATCCACCCGCCTCGGCCTCCCAGAGTGCTGGGATTACAGGCGCGAGCCACCGCGCCCGCCCGGCCTGCTGTAGGCTTTTGTGGCTTCCCCGCTGCCTCCCTTCCCCCCACAGTCGCCATGCTTCCCAACCTCCCCTGACTCTGCTCCCCCTTTACCGCCCACCTACACCCCCGCCGCAGCCGCAGCCGGGGTCCTCCTGCTGGGGGTCCGCCCCTACTGCACGCCGGCCGGGCAGCAGCATCCCACCGCTTCCGCCTCGCCGCCGCCCCGCCAGGAGCCCGGCTCCAGCCTGGGAGGGCAGGGGGCCGGACCCCAAAGGCGCAGCCGCTGGGTTCCCTGCCGTTTGCGGTGCCTTCCCGCTCCCGGAACGCCCAGGCGATTCAATTCACCCATCGGGCGCCGTCGTCGCACCCTTCCAAACCGGGGGAAGGGGCGGGCAGGGGCAGCGGGTGCCACAGACGCCAGCCAAGACGTCGGCTCCGGAACGCATGGGCTGCTTTACCCGGGGGAAGGACATTGCTTCGCCAGCCACCGGGAAAACAGGCCCTGTGCACCCGGGATTCCCAATGCCCCCCGCTTCGTGTCGACGACTCCAGTCCCGAGGACTCGCCAGAGACCCAGGCCTCCGGGCCCGCCCGGTGCCACGGCTCCCGCCAAACGGGCGGGCGCGCTCTGCAAATCTCGGGGCCCGCCGCAAGGCACCCAGAGCACAGGGAGGTGCCAAGAAAGGCAGGAGCCTACGAAACCCACCTCCAAAGCAAGCAATTCATCCAAGAAAACGCCCGCCTCAGCGCTCCGTTGGTCCTCTCGCACGGACCGCCTGGACCCCGTGTTCTGGGCGCAGCCCAAGCCCCCTCCACCCTATCCCGGCCTGCTCAAGAGGGCGCTGCCTAACGGAGCCGGGCGCTTCCTCTCTAAGGCTCTATCGCTCTCGCTCTCTAGCTCCCTCCGCCTCTCTCTTCTGGGTTTCCCCCTGGACCTCGCGCTACTTTTGTCGTTTTCCCTCTGTCTCTCTGTCTCTCTCTCTCTCTTTCTCTGTGCCTCTCTCTTTCTCAGCCTCTCTGTCTGTCTCCTTCCCTCTCGCCCTCCCCTGTCTCTCTCGATCGCTGTCTCTCTCCCTCCCTCGGTTTCTATCTCTCCATCCATCTCGTCCTTGCTCTCCTTCAAGCCGCGTGTGTGTGTGCGTGCGTGTGCGCGTGCGTGTGTGCGTGTGTGTCTGTGTGTCTGTGTGTGTGTGTGTGAGTCCGCGCGCGCGCGTGCGAGCGCGCCCGGGTGTGTCTGTGTGTGGGGGAGTGGATTTGCTCCTGGTGGCGGTGGGGTGTGTCTGGGTTTCTCTCAGGCCCTCTCACCCGAGATCAGGCCGCCGCCTCTAGTGCCAGCCCGGGGCAAAACAGGGCCACCCCCCGACCCGCTACACCCCACGCCCTCTTGCCCCCCCGGCCGGGTCTTGGTCGGGACAAGCGACCGTGGTGGGGGCGTTGTGAGAGAAAGGCCCCGCGCGGCTGGGCCGGCTGTTCGCCTTCGGCCAGCCCTGACGGCTCTGGGTGGGTGGGGCAAGAGGGGGCCTCGCAGGAGCCCCTGTGCGGCGAGGGATCCAAAACGCTGCCTCCGCGACAGGGCGGAGGACCGGAGGGCGTCCCAGGATCGTGGGCCCTGGGCCCTGACGCCTCGGAGCACTCCCTGCTCCGAGCGGGCCCGATGTGGTGGAAGCTCGGGAGCGCGGGAGCCGGGGGAAGGCCGCGGGCCAGCGGCTCGGGGGTCCCCGATCCGAGCCCCGCGGCCCCGGGCTGGCGGTGTCGGCTGCAATCCGGCGGGCACGGCCGGGCCGGGCTGGGCTCTTGGGGCAGCCAGGCGCCTCCTTCAGCGTCTACGGCCATACCACCCTGAACGCGCCCGATCTCGTCTGATCTCGGAAGCTAAGCAGGGTCGGGCCTGGTTAGTACTTGGATGGGAGACCGCCTGGGAATACCGGGTGCTGTAGGCTTTTTCTTTGGCTTTTTGCTGTTTCTTTCCTTTTCTTCCAGACGGAGTCTCGCCCTGTCGCCCAGGCTGGAGTGCAGTGGCGCCATCTCGGCTCACTGCAAGCTCCGCCTCCCGGGTTCACGCCATTCCCCGGCCTCAGCCTCCCGAGTAGCTGGGCCTACAGGCGCCCGCCACCACGCCCGGCTACTTTGTTCTATTTTTCCTAGAGACGGGCTTTCACCCTGTTAGCCGGGATGGTCTGGAGCTCCTGACCTCGTGATCCACCCGCCTCGGCCTCCCAGAGTGCTGGGATTACAGGCGCGAGCCACCGCGCCCGCCCGGCCTGCTGTAGGCTTTTGTGGCTTCCCCGCTGCCTCCCTTCCCCCCACAGTCGCCATGCTTCCCAACCTCCCCTGACTCTGCTCCCCCTTTACCGCCCACCTACACCCCCGCCGCAGCCGCAGCCGGGGTCCTCCTGCTGGGGGTCCGCCCCTACTGCACGCCGGCCGGGCAGCAGCATCCCACCGCTTCCGCCTCGCCGCCGCCCCGCCAGGAGCCCGGCTCCAGCCTGGGAGGGCAGGGGGCCGGACCCCAAAGGCGCAGCCGCTGGGTTCCCTGCCGTTCGCGGTGCCTTCCCGCTCCCGGAACGCCCAGGCGATTCAATTCACCCATCGGGCGCCGTCGTCGCACCCTTCCAAACCGGGGGAAGGGGCGGGCAGGGGCAGCGGGTGCCACAGACGCCAGCCAAGACGTCGGCTCCGGAACGCATGGGCTGCTTTACCCGGGGGAAGGACATTGCTTCGCCAGCCACCGGGAAAACAGGCCCTGTGCACCCGGGATTCCCAATGCCCCCCGCTTCGTGTCGACGACTCCAGTCCCGAGGACTCGCCAGAGACCCAGGCCTCCGGGCCCGCCCGGTGCCACGGCTCCCGCCAAACGGGCGGGCGCGCTCTGCAAATCTCGGGGCCCGCCGCAAGGCACCCAGAGCACAGGGAGGTGCCAAGAAAGGCAGGAGCCTACGAAACCCACCTCCAAAGCAAGCAATTCATCCAAGAAAACGCCCGCCTCAGCGCTCCGTTGGTCCTCTCGCACGGACCGCCTGGCCCCCGTGTTCTGGGCGCAGCCCAAGCCCCCTCCACCCTATCCCGGCCTGCTCAAGAGGGCGCTGCCTAACGGAGCCGGGCGCTTCCTCTCTAAGGCTCTATCGCTCTCGCTCTCTAGCTCCCTCCGCCTCTCTCTTCTGGGTTTCCCCCTGGACCTCGCGCTACTTTTGTCGTTTTCCCTCTGTCTCTCTGTCTCTCTCTCTCTCTTTCTCTGTGCCTCTCTCTTTCTCAGCCTCTCTGTCTGTCTCCTTCCCTCTCGCCCTCCCCTGTCTCTCTCGATCGCTGTCTCTCTCCCTCCCTCGGTTTCTATCTCTCCATCCATCTCGTCCTTGCTCTCCTTCAAGCCGCGTGTGTGTGTGCGTGCGTGTGCGCGTGCGTGTGTGCGTGTGTGTCTGTGTGTCTGTGTGTGTGTGTGTGAGTCCGCGCGCGCGCGTGCGAGCGCGCCCGGGTGTGTCTGTGTGTGGGGGAGTGGATTTGCTCCTGGTGGCGGTGGGGTGTGTCTGGGTTTCTCTCAGGCCCTCTCACCCGAGATCAGGCCGCCGCCTCTAGTGCCAGCCCGGGGCAAAACAGGGCCACCCCCCGACCCGCTACACCCCACGCCCTCTTGCCCCCCCGGCCGGGTCTTGGTCGGGACAAGCGACCGTGGTGGGGGCGTTGTGAGAGAAAGGCCCCGCGCGGCTGGGCCGGCTGTTCGCCTTCGGCCAGCCCTGACGGCTCTGGGTGGGTGGGGCAAGAGGGGGCCTCGCAGGAGCCCCTGTGCGGCGAGGGATCCAAAACGCTGCCTCCGCGACAGGGCGGAGGACCGGAGGGCGTCCCAGGATC